>NC_000012.12:107914673-108066188 GCF_000001405.40 Homo sapiens | reverse complement strand
CCTTTAGTCATTTTCCCTGATCCTCTCCCTTGTCCTGTTCTCCACCCTCTGATAGGCCCCAGTGTGTGTTGTTCCTCTCTTTGTGTCCCTGTGTTCTCATCATTTAGCTCCCACTTATACATGAAACACGCAGTATTTGGTTTTCTGTTCCTGTGTTAGTTTGGTAAAGATAATGGCCTCCAGCTCCATCCATGTCTCTGCAAGGACACAATCTTGTTCTTTTTTATAGTAGCCACATTTCAAAAGATGAAACTAAACAGGTAAAATTAATTCTGTTCATACGTTTTACTTAACCCAATATGTCCCAAGTATAATTTCAACATGCAATTAATGTGAAAAAGCATTGATGAGTTCTTTCACATTCCTTTTATTCATGCTAAGTCGCTGGAATTGGATGTGGACTTTCACACTTACAGCACATCTTAATTTGGACCTGCTGCACTTAAACTGCACGATAGACACAGGAGGCTGCCATTGTGAACAGGACAGTAGCAGATGATCGGATTCTCACTTAGTGTTCCCAGTAGCCCCACGAGGTATCAAGAGCTCCATTTTGTAGATGAGGAAATGACGCCTGCGAGGTTAAGTGATTCTCCCAAGGTCACACAGCTAGAAAGAGCAGAGCTGGGTTTGGGGCTGTGTGACTTTTTGCAATATGTCCCTGCTGGGATCCAGGTCATTTCACCTCTTCGGGAGCCCCCATGTCCATCTCAGGGTTGTCCACCCCCAAAAAACATTGATTATCGCCGTGATTTATGGCCCTCCTGCCAGGCAGCCCTGGAGACATAATTAATTTGTTTCTGCTAGTGGAGGCCTGCCTGGACACCCTCACCTCCCCACACCACCTCTGCTTCTAGCTGAGTTGATCGATTCCCAGCTTGTCGATGGTGCTGAGGAGTAACCTGCAGCTGCAGTTAGATTCGCTTCATCAGGCACTTGCTCAGAGCAGCCCATCTGACACTTTTATTGGGTCGGGAGCATCATATTTCAGTGTGTGTTTCCACCCCAGATTCTTGTTCTTGGATGGGCTAGGGTGGATATTGGATCAGCTGCTTTATGTATTACAGCAGGCCCCATGCTCCTTCCCGGTAAGAGGAAATCTACTGATTGGAGTGTAACTAATTATCTGACCTGAAAGGGATCATTTGTCAACCAACCAGCATTTATTGAGCTCCATCTGCATGCTCAGCTCTTAGTGGGATAGTATTACTGATAATAATGCCAGTAGCTACAACAACAATAATAATAGCTAACAAGCAGTTAGCCCTTGCTATGTTTCAGGCACTGCTGTAGCATGTTGTTAGGATAGATGTTATTATTATTATTCCCATTTTACAGGAGAGGAAACTGAGGCTTAGAAAAGTGAAGAGACTTTCCCAAGACCACACGTTTGAGAAGGATAACTTTGGGATCCAATCCCAAGCAGCCTAGCTGCACTCAAGAACTCACTGCCTTGTTGAAGAGGCAACATACATACTCAAGAAAAATGTGATGAATAACAGAAGAGAGAAGGCAGTAAGGGCTATTATTTATGGACTAATAATATTAATATCATAGCAAATATTAAAACTTAATAAAAACTCATGATGTGCCAGGCTGCATTCTAAAAGCTTATGAGATATGTACTGCATTCTAAAAGCTTTATGTACTATATCTTATTAAATCTTCACAAAACCCAAGACATAGATACTGTTACCATCTTATTTTACAGATGAGGAATTTGAGGCTTAGCAGGGTAAAATGACAGGGACAAGGTCATAACAATGTAACCCCAATGAACAGATGAATGATTCTGTTGTTATCTTTCCCCACATATTTAGTTCATTGCTGATTCCCTGCCCCAAACCCCCCCGGGGTTATAAGGTGAGGGTAACACCCCAAGAGAGACATCTGAGCTGCAAAAAGTTGGCATTAAGTTGGGCATTCCTAACAGGCACAGCGTCAGTGGTTCAGGGCATTTTATGTGCTTTCAGAGGACAGGATCCATGACTTTCATCAGATCCTCAGAAAAATTAAGACCACTGCTTTAAAGGACTGAAGAGAGAACAGGGGTTCCCTTTTGATGAAAGGCATCACATAAAGCAGTGAAGAGCATGTGGGATCTGGATCCAGAACTGGTTCAAATCCTGGCTGTGTTGCTAAATAGAGATAGAACTTATGTGAGTGGGTTGCCATCTGAAGCCGTTTCCTCATCTCTAAGATGGTGGTCAAGATGATACCTAGTCTAAAGGGTTGCTGTTGCAGGGATGAAATGAGATAGCATGTGTAAAGTTCTTAGAAGAAAACTTAGCACATAGTAGTCCTTGATAAATTGTACCCACCATAAAGTTGGTTTCTGTACTCCCCTTCCCTCTTCTCCCAACCCCAAGCTGGAATTTCTCTAAAATGTAAAATTAGAAATTACCTAAGCCTTCACCATCCACCTATGCATTGCTCTTTGCAAGTGTCATTTCCAACAAAGCCAGATCAGAGCCAACGGGATCCCAAAAGTTATTTCTGGTCTAATGGAAAGTGGACATTCTCTAGGATAGCTAAGAACCTTCACTCTCACTGGCCTCCCACCCACGACTACTTTCCAATTCCCACTGTTTCTCAAACCCACTCCATCTGTCCTTCCCCTATTTGCAGCCACATGGGAATGAAGGATACCCAAATGGAACAGTGGTGGGAACCAAATGAAATGGTACTTTGAAAACAACCAGGATAAACCCTAGGCTGAGACCCCAATTTTAAACACCTTTATGGTTACTTGTAACAGCTGCACACTTTTTCTGTTTAAAGCAGTCCATACTTTCGCTCATTTAAGTCCTCATAGCGCCCCTCTGTGGTAGATGATAGTATTACTCCAATTTTCCAGGTGAAGAAACCAAGACTCAGGAAACTTGGCTGAGTTATCACACAGCTAAAAAGTAGCAGAGACAGGAACACACAATCTTGATCACCGTGCTCTGCCACCTTCTTTCCCCCAAAGCAAGTGGTCTCTTTTACACACAGCAACTTTTCGATCTGAATTTTAAGAAGAATTCATGGCCATGTGGATTTGTGTCTACCCCCACCTCTATCATAAAGATCCAGTGAGGAGGAATAGGCAAAGAGGCTGCTGTAAGAAGGGAAGAGAAAGTCACCCCAAATTACAGAAATCACAATGGGGTATCTGTATAATGAGGACATGCGAACAGAAGTAAGGAGAGCACTTGGAGACTAAATAATCAAAGAGTTTATAATAATAATTTTTAAAAAGGGCTTCACAAATTAGGATAAAGCTTTGTGAAGTAGCATAGTGTTCTGGAATATTAACTGAAGTTGTTTTACCCACAGCATTTGCTTATAGCTCATCTTTCTCTTCGTTGAAACAGTAATTGACTAGCAAGGCACCTCTGCCCAAGAAAGAGTTGACACAGAAGAGTAGACATAATAAAGTAGTCAAGTCCCTGGCTCATGAGTCTTCAAGTCTTTCCCAGAATAAGAATCTTTGGAGATTTGACCTATGTAAAGCCGTGGTTTTATTAAGTTCCCCAGGTGATTCTGATATACACTAGTTTGAGAAGCACTCTTGTGCTGCTCATAAAACCTATGTGGAAAAATATTTAGTAAGGACAAGATGTCCTATATTTAGATACGCTCCCTTGATGTTAAGGAAGAAGAGAGTAAGAAGAGACTCAAAGTGCTCAGATGGTATTAGGAGCCTGAGAAAGAACTCTACTCCTCAACCATCCCACTCTCAGGCCGATTTTGGTGGTGAGGCCGCACCCCCAGGTAGGCTGGGGCACCTGAGAGCAGCAGGCATTGCCCCAGCCCTTCCCCAGGTGTACCTTGTAAAAGGGTGGACCAGAACCCCATCCTTCTGAGACTCCAGTGCTGTAGCATGGTGTGGGAGCAGAAGAATAATCCAGGTGTCCAGGTGGGTCCTGTGAATGGGGTTTCCTAAATCTCAGAATGGTGTGATAGCAGTAGAAGGGCTCTTACAGGCCAGGCTGGGGGCTGAGAGGTCATTTGGGTCAGAAATGCAGACTCATTCAGCAATGACCTAGATGGGTAGACATACAAAGGCCAGGCAGGTCAAAGATGTTGCAGCTGTTGCCAGAACAAACAGACTAGAAAGGAAGGACTCGATCTGCATCTCACTGCCATGCTTTGGTACAAGGTATGCTCTCCAGGGAACCCAAGTGGACTAGATTTCTGCTGTAGCAGAATGGGCTCTGCAGCAGATGTTACTAGTGTTCCACGTACATCCCTCAGACACCTTATCATTTTCATCCACCCAGTCTTCCTATGTGCTTTGACTCTGCGTGGCCAGCACTTAAATCTCGTGGTGGGAGGACCACCCTCAAGCTACTAGAACCCCTTAGGCTTAATTGCCTAGAGAACCTAGAGTGCCCAGGTATTCACTCCCCCAGGACAACCCTTAACTAATGCCTGATAGTATGTGGGAGGGATATACAAATATTCCAGCTTCCATGCCCCCTGATCTGAAAGACTCTGAGGGTAACCATCACTGTCTCCAGCTCCCTGCAGGGCTGAGCAAAGCTTATCCTCCATGAGACCTTGCTTGCCTCCATCCCTTGAGCTCTCAGTCACCTATTCCTTGATCAGATTTTCCTGGGGCCACTTCCTTATAAGTCACTTGTACATGAATCTTCATCTCAGGGTGTTTTTTGAGGGTTCTAAGGTAAAACAGGTGCTCAATATAAAACTGAGTTTGGTTATAGGGAAAAAATGCAGTTACATTTTCATGCTTGCCTGAGTTTATAGACTGAGATTTACAAAGGCTATACTTATTAATGAATATCATAACAAAGCTACTTCTTTTTAGCACTTGTACATTTCTATGAATGACCTCATTAAACCCATGAGTTGAAAATCATTGTTATCTCCACGTTACAGATTTCAAGAGGTTCAACAATTCTTGGTGCAAGGGCTACAAGCAAAGTCTTACACACAGCCCCTCTCCTCAAGGAACATTTAGACCAGGAAGACGGAACACAGGCTCTAAGCCTGAGTCTGGCCAAAGTCCCATACTCTAAGCAAGAGAGCAGGGGGAATTCCAAGACATAGTCACTAAGCTGAGGTGCCCTGAACTCCTCCTACCCAGGCAGTTCTGGACCAAGAGACTGAGAGGAGTTCAACTCCTAGGCAGCTTTTGTAGTGCAGGTCCTATCACCTCTCTGTCCTGTTTTCTCACTTGCAAAGTGGGGTTAATAATTATTTAAAATGCAGATCCCCTGGCTAGTGATTCAGGGACCTGAATATGGATTGCTGATATGAGCAATTTAAAAAAATCCCCTACCAAAGTGCACTGATGAGTGCCATTTACTTTGAAATGTATCAAAAAAGAAGGAGGGGCAAATTGATAGATAAGTGATAAAGCATGAAAAAGAAAATGGGGGTGGATAAAATTCTTTCAACTTTGCTATAGGTCTGAAACTTTTCATAACAAAATGTTGGGGGGACTTCCCAAGTGATTCTTGTTTGATGCAGTGGTCCCTGTCTGCTCCTTTGATAAGTCAATTTTATGCCCAAAGCAATTCAAAGCAAGACACAGGTGAGGCAGAGTAAGGTGAGGGCTGGAAGCACTTATCTTTCTAGGATTCCCTATCTTGAGAACTTCGGTCTTCTTTTTGCAGTTTCCTTTTGTTTGGGAGCTGTCAGTTCTGGAGAGCATGTCCCCAATAAGGCTCTCAGCTGAGATTGCTGGCTTTGATAGTAAGAAAGTGGGAGTAGGCCATAGGTACCTGGAGAAGTGACAGAGATGAATGCCATTGGGCACAAGACGTATCTTGAAGCCACCAGATGTGACTTCACTGTGGGGCCCATGATATTTCCCAGTGCTTTGGAAATCACTTCCATTCATCACCCTTTATGCTTCTGATTCATCTTGCAGGCAAGACAAGTCGTTTTATGCTGAAGCAAGAAAGATTCCTTTAATAGCCCTCTGAATCAGCGGGCTGTTTATTCTCTCTCTCCAAAGGCTCTGTCAGCTCATGCTGGATCTGTCCAGGTTCATCCTAAAGTGCTTCCCTGCAGCAGACAAGGCCACAAGTGGCAAACCTCATTGGTAATTCACCCAGGCCCAGAGAGATGGTCACACCATAGTCAAAACAACAGGGGTCATGGTTAACAAGGTACCTTTTCATCATTGGTACCCAGGAAATGACAAGAGGACACTAGGCATCGTCAAGGACTAAAGAATGAAAAACTGCATCTATTCTGAGGTTTATTTGTTCTCTTTTTATGACACAAAAGTTAACTTGACTTCTTCTTACAGAGTTCAATGCCTAACACATCCAAATGCAGTCACTGTCTTTGGCCTAAAGCCTGATGCATAGTAAACATTCAATAAATTTTTGAATGAGGGGACCATATAGAATTAATAAGTGAATTAATAAAATAACATTAGGCATCATTTACTGAATAAATTGTATACCAAATTATAGTAGACTGTTTCAAAAATGGCTCTAATTATTCCCCTCCCTATAACTACACTCCTTTGCAATGTGATTTTGCATCCCCTCCCATTAAAAGATGGAGTCTGTTTTCCTGCCCCTGATTCTTGATTGGCTTTGTAACTTGTTTTAGTTGATAGGATGTGACAGCAGTGATTGGGTGTCATTTCCAATCCTAAACCTCAAAAGGCCCTGTGAGTGTTCCCTCACTGTCTTGGACCCCGTCACTTGCCAGCTGGAGGATAAAAATTAAATAGAGCAAGGAAAGATGGTCCAGCCAGGGCCATCCTAGATCAGCCAGCCCCAGCTGACCCAGCACTGATGGAAGCAGCACTGATGGAAGCCACACTGAGATCAACTGAGTCTAGAACTGCTTACATGAACACAGCCCAAATTGCTAACTCTCACTCAGCATTGTTGGCTTAAGACACGAAACGGTAGAGTTGTTTTCTTATTAACAGCAAAAGCTGACTATTACACAAGTACCGTGTCACATACGTAACATATTTAACCCATACAGCAATCCTCCAAAGTAGGTGTAATAGATACAGTTATCTGTCTTCCAAAATATGTTCTTTCCTTATTCTACACTAAGATAATTCTAGTTAGGACACTGTGACGCAGCTAAGGACTAAATTTCTGAGCTCCCCTTGCTGTTACGTGTGGTAATGTGAGTGTTTTCTTGCCAAGAATTGGCAGAGCGGAAATGACATTACAAATTCTACCTCAATTGCTTAAGAGAAAACCCCTAGCTTTGGAATTCTGCTATTTTCCCTTTCCTGGTGACTAGATGGGAATAACTAAAATGTCTGTGTGTTGGAGATAGCAAACCCCATCAGCCTGAATCCCTGAATATTCTTTGGAGGGGGCATGCCCTAGACTGTTACATGGGCGAGAAACAAACTTCCGACTTGTTGGAGCCTCTAATGCCACATAGCCTGTTTGTAATAGCAACTAGTATTATCCTAATGCAATAGAGATTTTAATCTCCATTTTACAGGGGAGAAAGAAGAGGCTCAGAGATGTGACATGACTGGTCTCTAAGCTGCACTTTTCAGCAGAGTAGCCACTTTACCCACATGTAGCTACTTAAATTAATTAAAATTAAATTAAATTAAAATCCAGTACTTCAATCACACTAACCACACGTCAAGTGTTCAACAGCCACATGTGGCTACTGGCTACCTTATTGTACAGCACAGGTATACTACATTTCCATCTGCACAGAACGCTCTATCAGATGGCATGGCAAAACCATGATCCTAACTGAAGTCTGAGTGACTTCGTGCTTTGCTTACCTGCCTGCCTCCTGCTATGCAGAATTATTATCAAGAGTTGCTCCCCTGGTGCACGTATGTGTTTGTTTACAGATCATTATTATCTATTTGTCAGAGAGGATGGAAGGAAGTGGAGACTTATAATTAAAGGATGATGGCAGCTGGTGAAAGGATCAATGAGAAAAAAGAAGTCATCTCTGAAACATTCACACTAAGTCATTAAGAATACCACTTGAGGCTGGGCGCGGTGGCTCATACCTGTAATCCAGCACTCTGGGAGGCCAAGACAGGCCTTGGGTTAGGAGGTTAGGAGATCGAGACCATCCTGGCTGACATGGTGAAACCCCGTCTCTACTAAAAATACAAAAAAAAAAAAAAAAAAAATTAGCCAGGTGTGGTGGTGGGCATCTGTAATCCCAGCTACTCGGGAGGCTGAGGCAGGAGAATGGTGTGAACCCAGGAGGCGGAGCTTGCAGTGAGCCAAGATCGCACCACTGCACTCCAGCCTAGGCAACAGAGCGAGACTCTATCAAAAAAAAAAAAATTCACTTGATTTGTCGAAGTTAGACATGAAACAATATAGGCACCTCTACCTCCACTCATTCCTTTAAAGCAGGGTGGCCCACCCTGGGCAAGATTAACTGCTCTTTCCTTGCAACTGCTAAGGAAGGGATTCACATTGATCTGTCTGAGATGGTTATGGTCAAAGAAAGCCTGTCGGTTTGCAGGGCTGTTGGGTGCTGCTGGATATATTCACCACACTGGTCTAGCTGGGTGAGATATCAGAATGAGGAGGATAGGGAGAGCAGCTCAAGAAAGAAAAACCCACGGGATAATGTCCCAAAGGGGAAACTGGGCATGGTGGTGTGGCCATGCAACATTATCTCACCTCTGTCTTCCAGCTACAGTCAGCCTCAAGCTGAGTATACAGGTCCTTCTTCTTTTGCCCCTCACTTGATTCTAAGGATAACCAGGATGGCAACTACATGCATGTGCTTTACAGATAGCTGTTGAGTACTTAACGGTGTGCCGGGCAGGGTTCTAGTCACTGTGGGGATGCAGCAGTGGAAAGGGTCCTTGCCTTCACAGGTGTAGTCTAGTTAGGGAGAAAGATAAGTGCACAGGACATTATGATAAAGGGTTTCCGAGCTAGAGGAACATGTGGCGTGAGGGCTGTGGGGAAAAAGAGAAGGGTCTATAATGGGCTAAATTGTTCCGCCTGCACCATAACCCATTCACATGTTGAAGTCCTGACCCCTAGGACCTCGGAATATTGCTGTATTTGAAGATAGGGCCTTTAAAGAGATCATTAAGCTAAAATGAGGTCACATGGGTGGGTCCTCATCCAATACAACTGGTGTCCTTATAAGAAGGGGAGATTAGGACACAGACAACACACAGAAGGAGGAGCGACCATGTGAGGATGCAGTGAGAAGGTGGCCATCTGCAAGCCAAGGAGAGAATCTCAATCTGCTGACACCTTGACCTCGGACTTCTAGTCTCCAGAACTGAGAAAAAATTGTCTGTTGTTGAAGCCACCCAGTCTGTGGCATTCTGCTATGGCAGTCCTGGCAAAAAAATACAGTGACCTAATTCAGTTTGGGGTGGAGGACATGTCAGAGAAGGCTTCCACTAAGGGGTGGTTATTGAGCATCAGTAGGGGAGCCTGACAAAGGGGGTGGCCGGGGGAAGCTGAACATGCTAGGCTCCAGGAATACCATGTGGAAGGCTTTAGAATATGTCACAGATGATCTTGTGAGTCAAACTAGGGAATTTAGTCTGTTTCCCAGAGGCAATGGGGAGCCCTTGTGGAGATAAAGCAGAGGCATGGCATGATCAGGTTTCATTTTACAAAGATAGTCTTGAGTGCATCTATATGATAGATTTCAGGGGTGAGATGGGGGACAAGCTGTGGGACAGACTGAGAGGCTGGGCAGCGGTCCAGATGAGTGATACTGAGAACTTAGACTAAGCAGCAACAAGAAGAAAGAGAAGAGGTCAGTTTGGTGAGATATTGAAGGAGACAGGCATTGAGGATGGATGGACATAGTAGCTCAGAGGGAGACAGGAGAATCCTTAATTTGGTCCCCAGTCATAGACCCTGAGATAGGGATTCAAGAGGGAGAATTACATTTAGAAGGTGAAGGTGGAGGAGAAGGGGAAAAAGAAAAAAAGAGAAAGCAACAAATAAAGGAAATGTTTTCTGCTCAGCTACCACTGTGTGAAAGCGGTGCTTAATCCTGCCAGGGAGCTGTGAGAGACAGTGTAGAACATCACCCCAGAGTAATCCCACTTGAGCAGCAAGGGAGCTGGGGTGAGTATACACAGCTCCTGTCAGTATTAGCTGAGGGCTGCTTCTGGGAGGTGGGCACATATTCTTCAGAGCATCTGAGCCACCATATAGGCGGCAGAGTGGGCTGTAGTGACAAGAAACACCCTCAGGCCACAAAATGCAGGAACTGGTAGTTGCATATCTGTCTGATACATTCTGAAGTGGTAAGAAGGAGAGATACTGGAAAGGTACAGTTTCTGCCCCAAGAATCTTGGGTGTCCCAGCAACTTGGCTTGAGTATTCAGTACTTCATGTACTGAATTGGGGAAAAGAGGAAAAAAAGGAGAATATTTTAGACCCATTGCCCTACCTATGGACATACTGGTTTAGTGACTCGTGGAGAACTCCAAAGTATGAAGCCAACAGTACATGGCTAATATCTAAAATCATGGGAGAGGGTGCAACGGCCAAGAGGAAATGCACAGCATGAAGAGGTCTGGGGCCCCAAAATGAATCCCTGAAGAGCACCCACTCCATATAACACTCAAGGCCCCAAACTCCATCACTGGGTACTGTATAGCTCAGGCTGCTATAGATAAAAATCTCAGGGCAGCAAAGGGGAAAGTGATTACTAAGAAGAAGTATCTGAATTAAGGAAATAATTCTCTAGCCTTTTTTAATTAAAACCTTCAACCCAAGAAGCTTGTTAATTTTAGCTTCAGCAAGTGGTTCTGCAGCCACTCGGCATCCTGCTGCCTGTGCATGGTCTGCAGAGGCAGCCTCTGATTTCCCTAATTTGTGAGGCACTCATGCTTCGGGTAGCAGGCGGGTGATTACAGCCAGATGGGAAGCCAGCCCTCCAGAAGCAGATTCCTATAGGATTTTTGCAGCCAACAGGAGGCTGGTGGGAATGCTGGGACCTTTGTCACCCCCACCTCCCCCCCACCAACTCCCTCCTCTTTAGATGCATTTGAAGGCCAAAAGAGGAAAAATCCCAGTTGCAGGGTGGTTGGCAAAGAGATTCTCAAGACAGGCTGGTTAAGCACTCCCCACTGTGTGAATGAAAGAGTAATGTTAATTCCTGATTAGCTCCATGGACAGACTAAGAGAAGTGGCTAGTATTTATTGAGTTCTTTCCATATGCCAAGCATTGTGTTCATTATTTTAGTCCCTCATGACATCCTTACAGTAGGCCTGTGAGTTCAATAGTATGGTCATCTCCATTTTACAGATAATACAACTGAGGCTCAGAGAGCTGTAGTGACTTGCCTAAGGTTACACTTGCCCCTAGCAAGTGGCAAAGCCAACAATTCAGATTCCAAATAGTATATAAAGGCAGCACTAATGAGCAAAGGCAGAAACATGGAATCTGGAGACACAAAAACTAGTTTGGAGTCACTTGCCCATATGTGACACGCTTTAAAAATGTTAGCTGTTAACTGTTATGATGATATCTCATACTTCAAATAGGCTTTTAAGACTACTATCTCAGGCTGGGTGTGGTGGCTCATGCCTGTAATCTCAGCACTTTGGGAGGTCAAGGTTGATGGATTGCTTAAGCTCAGGAGTTTGAGACCAGCCTGGGCAACATGGTGAAACCCTGTCTCTACAAAAAAATACCAAAAATAAATTTTAAAAAAATTAGCTGGGCATGGTGGCGCCCACATGTGGTCTCTACTCAGGAGGCTGAGGTGGGAGAACTGCTTGAGCCCAGGAGGCAGCAGTTGCAGTGAGCTGAGATTGCACCACTGCACTCCAGCCTGAGAGACAGCGTTAGACCCTATCACACACACACACACACACACACACACACACACACACACACAATTAAAGACTACCATCTCAAAGGCTCATGCTCAAGGATGTTTATTCCGGCATTGTTTATTCATAACTGAAAAGTTGGAAGTAATCTGGATGTCTAAAGATAGAGCATTGGCATAATAAATTATGGTAAATCCATACAGTGTAATAGCGTGTATGTGTTAAAAGTCACATGTAGACAGGTGGTTAATGACATGGGATATAAAATTAAGTTTGAGAGTTCTTCTAAAACAGGTTACCAAAAAATGTGATACCTTTTGTATAAAAATTATTTGAAAAATGATATGCATACATATATTTATATATGCATACATATATGTATTTGAAGATTGAAAAGAAAGACAGTAAAATACATTTTCTTATTTCCTCTCAACGTTGTGATCACAAATGATTTTAGTTTTCTTCTATGTGTATTCTGTATTTTCTACACTTCCTACAATTAGTAATGTCCTTTAGCAATGAGAAAAAAATACATAATTGCATTATGTTTTAAATCTGACATACTCTAATTTATCTTATTATTCTCTCACCCTTGACTTTCATCTTCTGTTTGCTCTGTGATCTCTGCTTACTTGGGCATTCATTTTTCTCTTTCAGGTGTGGTTTCTTTTTCAAATACTTAGAGATCCTGGGTTTATGCTCATCTTCGTATTTGAGGTACAGGCTGCATGCCTATGAGCAGGGTTTCTATTTCCTGACACCTGCCTCTGAGGTATCTGGGGGTGAGATGCTGCAGAGTAGGTGGGGAGTATCAGCTGCTTGTTTCTCCATGTGGGAGGTCCCATCCTCCCGGAGTTCAGAGCAGCCTAGGGCACCGCTTGCACTTGAGTCCTGATGTCCACACTTCTACTGACCCCAAGTGAAGAGGGTAAAGCACTCTACCAGCCTCACTAGGCGAAACAAAGCCCACAAATCACCCCCAAAGCCACCCCAGAGCTCTCTTCTGCTTCTTCATCAACTTACTCCAAGCTTGGAGCAGGATTCTAGGCTGTGGCTTTCTCTGGAGTCCCTTCTCTATAGACCAGATAGCATCTAAATTAAGTCTTTCAGAAGTTCTTCAAAATGACAGGTCCATGGTAAACACCCAGTTCCCCACCCCTACAACAAAGTTGTAGATAGATTGGGCTTAAAATTATTTTTTTCTCTTGTTTTTATGGAACTTGGGTCAGGAGGAAAGGAAGTTTTTGTGATAAGTCCTCCATCTTGATTCATTTTCTAAATGTTCTAAAATATTATTTTTGATTGAACCATAATGATATGGTTTGGCTGTGTCTCCACCCAAAATCCCATCTCGAATTGTAATCCCCATAATCCCTGTAATCCTCACATGTCAAGGGCAAGACCAGGTGGAGGTAACTGGATCACGGGGGCGGTTTCCCCCATACTGTTCTGATGATGAGTGAGTCTCATGAGATCTAATGGTTTTATAAGCATCTGGCATTTCCCTTGCTTGCACTCACTCCATCCTGCCACCTTGTGAAGAAGGTACCTGCTTCTCCTTCGCCTTCCATCATGATTGTAAGTTTCCTGAGACCTCCCCAGCAATGCATAACTGTGAGCCAATTAAACCTTTTTCCTTTTTAAATTACCCAGTTTTGGGTACTTCTTCATAGCAGTGTGAGAATGGACTAACACACATACTAAGAAATAAAAATAATTTTAAACATGCGCTCTATCTTCTTGTGAGAATCAACTGAGACAAAGTCAACAACCACCCCTCCCCCGCCAAATTGCTTAAACTTTAAAGCATAGTTTGCTGCCGTGATTGTACTCATATGTTTTGATGCAGAATAGAATGAAGAGGATGCTAGCATGTGAAAGGAAAGGAAACCTGGGAGGCTGGCCTACTTAGTGGTTTCTATTGTAGGTCATGTGGAAGCTGATAGCAGAGCTTCTTAGGTTGACAACCCCCACGGCAGAACCCTCAGTCTCATCAGTTTGGGGAGGGTGAGGCTTTGGGAGGGTTAAGCAGCTCCTCATATGTCACAGCCAGGACTCAAAACGTAAACCAGGTCTCCAGTTAGAGGAGGCCACGGGTATATAGAAGCCTCCTGAGCAAGTGACATGACAAAGAACAAGGACTGAGATACATGGCATGTCTACATGAAAAGAGAGTGCAGGATAGGAGTTAAGAGCTTGGCCTCCCAAGACGTGACTTGGAATCTTGATTCCACCCCCCAACAGCTGGGCACTCAGGCCAGCAGGTCAATCTCTTGTGAGTTAAGTTTCCTCACTGTAAAATGGGGAAAATCATACCACCTACCTTTTAGGAACATTAGGAGGACAATGAGATTAATTCATGTGAAACGTTCTTCCTGTCTGATAGGTGCTCAAAAATGTTCACTATTAGTTTATTCATTCACTAAATAAGCCAGTATTTACAGATATTCTACTAGGTGTCAGGATCAGGGGAGAGTCAAGAACTACAAAGTCCCTGAGTCCCTGGAGCTTTCATTTTGGAGGTGAGACAGACACTAAACAAACAAACAAAAAAGAAACACGAGCCAGGGAGAAGTGCTTTACAGAGAATGATACAGGACAGTGTGATCAAAGCTAAGGAGTGGCAACTGTCAGCTGGGGGTCAGATAGGGCTGCTCTTGGGAGAGGCCATTGGGCTGAGATATGAATGAAAAGAAGGAATGAACAAGAAAGGGGAGGTCAGGGAAGGGCACCCCAAGCAGGAGGAATGGCAGTGCAAATGCCCTGAGGCAGGAACTGAGGAGAGACTGGGAACTTCTTGGCCATTGCAGCTGGAGTGAAGCGGGTGACAGGATCAAGAAGTAAGTGAGGCCCAGTGGATCACGCTTTAAAGCCAAGGTCAGGAGATTGAATTTTATTCCGAGACCTGCAGAAGGCTTTTTAGAGTTGCAAGCAAGGGGCAATATGACCTTCTTTAGGAGATTGTGGTGGTTGTTCCACTTGCCTCCTGTGTCCTGTAAATTCTGAGGGCAGACACCAAGCCTGATCCATCCTTGCAATCTCCTCCTTCCTGGTAACAAATGGCCAGTAAAGCACTCAACAAGCCTCTCTGGGTGAAACAAAACCCACAGATGTCCCCCATAGCCACCCCAGGGCTCTCTTCTGCTTCTTCATCTGTTTACTCCAAGCTTGGAGCTGGATTCTAGTCATTGGTGTTCTGTAAATTCTGAGGGCAGACACCAAGCCTGCTCATCTTTGCAATGCCATCCTTCCTGGTCCTAAGAAACTGCCCTGGGCCCCTGAAAATATTTGTCAAATGAATAAAGAAACAAAGAAAAGACAGATGGATGTGTTTCCCTTAAATTTGTTGTAAGCCTCCTCCTGTTTCTGCCACATCGTCTCAGAGGGAAAGGAGTGTCAAGTTGATTCTCCTTCTCTCATCTTTGTGAGAGAAGCCCTGAGGCTCTGTAAGGAGATTTCCCCTCCATCAGCAGGAGATGGATAGGCTGGCTCTGCAATTCTCCCGTGTGAGACCCTCCATTACTGAGGGGCTGAGCAAGCGCGATGATTGGGAAGCAGGGTGGTGGGGGAAATGATCAGCCATTTGTTATCAGCCTTGGAGGAGCCAGTAGTGTGACACAGATAAATTGGGTCCTTGGAATTCTAAATGAAACTGCTTCCCTGGGTGGAATAGTCAGGGTTCAACCCCAGCCCAAATGTCTGGCCCTGGAAGGCATTGCAGAGAGACTCTGGTACCCACGCTCCAGTCAGTGCAGGATTCACAGGCAGTCCTGTGCAGGCTCAATCACATTGACCCCAAAATGAAAGAAACACCCAGCTCCCTGCTGAAAACTCTTTTGCTCTTGTTCTGTCTCTCTCTTTCTCTCTCTGTCTCTCTCTGTCAATCTCTCCTCCTCCCCACATTTTCTATCATTGTTTAGCATTGCCTCCTGGGATTCCAACATCTTCCTTCTATCACGCAATGCTAATGCAGGGATGGCACATAAATTTGATCCACTTGCCAGTTCAGATTGAGGGACAGTGGTTACCTGTGTTGAGAAGGCTTCCGAGGTTTCCTCAGGGCTCAGATAGAGAGAAACTGACTGATGAGTGACATTTTGCAGGACATATGATGGGGACGATGAGGGTCTAGAGTTACAGTTTTTTATCCTTGTTCTGAGGCCTAGAACGTATAATTTTTTTCCCAATGCATGTAATTCTGGCTTTAATTTTGCCTCAATGGAATAATTGTAATATCTGTCATAATCAAACGCTTAAAATATGCCAGTCCCTGAGCTAAGTGTTTTACATATATTATCTTATTTAACCTATATTACTACCATAGGATATCATCCCAACTATTTGACACATAAGAAAATTCAGCCTTAGAAAGACAGAGTGACTTGCCCAGGGACCCTCAGTAAGTAGTGGGGTCAGGATTTATTGGAACCCAGCTCTGTCTGTCTCCTCTGTGGAGGAGCTTCCACAGCCTCCTTCAGGACCCAGTGTTTGCATTTTTAATATCTACTCTCACAAGAAGCTCTCTCCCATATTTAACCTATACTCCCTTGATGCAGCAAAAGCATAGTTCATGTTAGAATTCCACAATCTAAATTCAAGACACAGTAGGAAAAGAAGTAGGAAAAGAAGAATGTAAATATCACACTAATGATATTTTATGTTTATTGCATGCTGAAATTAAAATATTTTTGCTACATTGGCTTATATAAAATATATTATTAAAAATGATTTCACCTGTTCTTTTGCTGCTTTTGTTAATGTGACTACCAGAAAATTTAAGATTACACATGTGGCTCACATTTGTGGCTTGTAAATGTTTCTAGTGGATGACACAGCTCTTGAGCTCAGTCACTCATTCTAATCCCATCTTTTTTTTTTAATTAAAAAAATTTTTTTAAGAGGTAGAGCCTTGCTCTGTCACTCAGGCTGAAGTGCAGTCATGCAATCCTATCTCACTGCAGCCTCAAACTCCTGGGCTCAAGCAATCCTCCCACCTCAGCCTCCCAAAGTGCTGGGATAACAGGTGTGAGCCACTGTGCTTGGCCCCAATTCCATCATTTTTAACAGGTAAGGAAATTGCCCACCAGAGTGGCACAGTGACTAGCCTAGAGTCACATCACTTTTGACAGCAGATGAAGGACCACATTCTAGTTTTCTTGTGCCCAAATCCTATGCCCTTTCTTCCTTAGTGGAAGAGGAGCTGGCTGGAAGCCTTTTTGTCCTCCTTTCAAACATACTTTCACACTGGGGAAAAAAAATGAATTTAGACCAAACAGGAAAAATAGCCATTTTTTTTCTCACCCCATATTTCATGGAACGTAAGAGGGCTGTCCCCAGTGGTAGTCATGTTGCCTCGATTGCCTTAGCCTCGAGGCCTCAGGGAACTCAGGCACTGATGATGTACCTGACCCATGTAGAAGGATGTCCTAGTTGTGCCTCCTGCTAGGAACCAGGCCATGTCCCCAGCAAGTATGTTCCTGGAGACAACAGCCTACACAGATCCTTGCTTGGTCTCTGGGAGTCTGGGACAGCTGTGGAACTTCAGCGCCTTCTGAAACAACTCTGCAATTAGCTATTGCTCCAGCTGGCACCGAGAGCCTTGGGCTGCAATGATTTGATGCCTCTACTGCCTACCAAATCCCTTCCTTCTGGCTCGTGGCTCTCAGCTTTCTCTATAACTGAACCATACAGCAAGGAGGAGGCATGATTTCTGCACTAATTGAGGCTGACAAACTCTTTGGGATTTGATTGCGGCTCTTGAGATGTAGTCCTGAAATGCAGATCTGACTGCCATCCACCTGCTTAAAACATTCTCAATGGCTCCCTGTTACCACAAAGATGAAGTTCATATTCTTCGGCTGAACCATGTCCAGCAGGGCACTCTAGACGCCTCCAGGCTACCACTTGTAACAGATACTGCCAGTTCCTCACCTACATCCCTCACATCCAAGCACTCCAGTGTGCTTCAGATAACTTTCTACACCACTATGTGTAGCTTTCCCCTCCCCCTCCACAAACCTCAGAAGGCTGCTCTGCATGCTAGCAAGAAGTGCTGGGGAATTCACTCCTTGAAGCAGCAGCCCTCAACCAATAAGTGAGGGGAGTGGACATATAGATACCCTAGCTCCCTTGTCCCTCATTGGTGTGTGTTTTATACCATTTCCCAGTAACTCTCCCTGGGATGAATCTCCAGCTGCCCTCCCTGTATTGACTGTCCTCTGTTTCTTACCTGTTGCCCAATCTCCTTCCTCTATTTCCTTGAAATCATCTTCTGAACAAATCACTTGCACTGGAATCCTTATTTCAGGATTGGCTTTTGGGGGAAGCCACCTAGGATGCCTCCCAAACATATCTTCCCTTTCCTTCCTCCTGATTTCCCTTTGGTGTGGGGATTTACCACCTTCCCATTATGTAGCAACCACATGGTGTGATTGGCACTAATTCTACCCCAGCTCAAGGGGAGATTGAGCCAATCCCTAGGCTCAAGTCAGGATAGAACATTCTTTCTTACCTTTCCATTGTTCCATGCCCAACACCCTCCCTAATTTAAGCCAGTGACCTTGAAATGCAAGGTCACAATATAACATCCTTCCACCCTTCGAGGAAAAGAGTATATCAAATCCAGAAACTCAGACAGTCTCAAAGGGAGATGTAGAAATTTACCATGAACAATTATTGAGCCCTGGGCATTGGACTAGATGACTCACATGAATTATCCCCTTTATTCTTTACAATATTCCTACAAAGTAATTACTATTATAATCCCCATTTTACAGTTGGGGAATCTGAGTATCATAAAGGTTAAGTCCTGTAGTTCAGGGTCACCAGCCAGCTAATGCTGGCTTTCAAGGCCAAGCAATCTGACTTCAGAACCTTCCCTGTCAATCTGTACTCCATACTGGGTCCCTTGGAAAGTATGGAGACCATTGAGAGATACACTTTGGAAAGAAAGCATTACATAACTACATTATGCAATGTTTCCTGGCTGAGCCTCCAAGAAAGAATTTCTGCCGGAACTAAAGATGATTCTGGTTTCCTTCAAGGGAAGTAGATATTTTTGATGTCATCAGAAAAAATACTCTGTGGTTTTCTGTTCTATTTTGGACTTCTTCTATTTTGGTCACATACTTACTAAAAATGAAGAATTTTCTCTCCCTCCTTGGCTATTTACTCCAGAGGCCCCACCAACCATTCTGTCTCATCCATCCATTCACAAATCATAACTGAGAGCCTGCCACGGGTCAAGTGCTGTGTCAGGCACTGTGTCACCACAGCCAAATATATAGCTGCACTTTTTCCCTCCAAAGTCGACAATCTACACGGTGGTTACCGTATTTTCAGCTCCCTTCACAAAGAATCAATGTTTTGTTTCGTTTTTTAATTTGGAGGCTGTGCTGAGGGAGGAGAAACAAGATACAGGCAGGAAACATCCTCAATAGAACCTTCAAAGTCAGAGTAGATTAAAAGCAGAGAACAGAGCGCTGTTTTGGGGTCAGTGCAGCCATAAATGCAGGAAACACAGCAAGTTCTACAGCCAGAGCCGTCCTCTCCTGGACGCCAGATCCCGACGGCGTGGTCATCAGCAATCAGAGTGGGAACAGAGGCAGGAGTCTGTACGAGACAGTGCGCTGAGCATTCTCAGCACTCCCCAAACGCTTTTCCTCTCAGCTCAGCAAAAAGCCTCCCTGGCCGACTGCAAATGGCCTTTCGCTCGCTCAAAGTTCTGCCTTTCTGGAATTTGGAGGAGAGGAGTTCTGTTTTTGGAGGCCATTGTGGCTGACCTTAGATTTTAGGTAAAGATATGCAGCTCTTATAGAACTGCTTGAGAATGGTCCCAAATGGAGCAGCGTCTTCCCAGGGCTTCATATGGTGGGTCCCTTTGACCCTCAGGAAGTTATCCCACTCTCTTAGGCTTTAAAGGACAGAGAAACTGGGCTACTAACGCCCTCCTCATGGAGTTGCTATGAGGACGAATTGTGATCGTGTACGCAGAGCATGTGGCTTGAAACCTGGCTGCTGGAAGCATCTTACTCTCTCAGGGAAGCCCAGTACCCACTCGGCATTGTTCTACATCACGTGACCACAGCCTCCAACTCCAGTCACAGCTGATTAAACCAGCAGAGTCACATGACTGAAGATCAACCAATCCTGAGGCTAGTGACAAACAATACTTGTGGCAGCTTGAAAAGGATGGGCTACAACTGCTTCCCGAAAGGCGGGACGGACACAGTGGGTGGTACCTGACATGAAACTATTTTGGTGAGAATACGTGACTTAAAAAAAAAGTTGTTATGCTTTCATTGTAATGTATACCAGGAAAATGCTTGTTTTCCATTTGTGATACTGATATAAAGTTCCCTTTATGATACATAATATTAAGATGTATAAAAAATGGTTTTTTGAAAAAGTATTAAGTAAAATTTTAGCCCAGTTGGTAGATGTCTATGGCAAACAATGGCAGGCGAATGACTAACACACGACAAAGTCTCAAGGTCTACATTCCCCTCTCAGGGAAATGAGAGGCTGGGTAGCTGGTGAGGGCTGAAGGTGAGGGGGTTGAGTTGGAACCACAGCAAACCAAAGCCGTGAGTGGCAGCGAAGGAAATGAAACAACAAAGAAGATAGGAAACCTGGTTGGTGGTGTGATAGGAGACTTGAAAAGGTGTGCATGAAGGAGGAGAGAGGTGAAGAGAAAAGCAGTGGAAACAAAGGTAGAGATGGAGAGACAGAGACAAAGGGAAAGGTAGTGAGACAGAAATAGAGACAGGTAGAGATACCCTGAGTTATACCTTCGTGGACTCCCTGGATCTACCTCCACTCCACACATGTTCTTACAATGTATCCTGCTTTTCTTCCTGAGATACCTTGAGTGGGTCTCACAGCAGAAAGCCTAATATGATGAATGGCTATGAAGGAGTAACCCTATTTTGAAGATTCTTGGGCACCAGCCAGCATATTTTAAGCCTCCAAGAGCAGGCTCTGTAGGGGCCATTGAGGGTTCTTAACAAAGTAGCAGACAGGCACTAGGCTAAGGTAAGAGAGATGCCTAGGGAGAAACTTGGGGAGACACTCATTCACAAACCCAGACATCAAATTCCAGCAGATTGGCTGATTTCTAGAGCTCCTCTTGAAACTTTATGGAATTTACTGATCAAAAAGAGTATTGGCAAGTATGTGAGGCCCCACTCTATCCAAATCATGACTGCCCATCTCTAGAACTTTGCTACTTTGGAAGCAAATTGAAAGAAGTAGCTGCTATATAATTTAAATTCTGCTAATGTGTATTTACTATCTACACCCAATTATCACCAATCAATTTAACAGTTATTACTTAATGGGTGAAAATTACAATTCTGGTGCCCCAGATCAGCATGGGGCATTGTGGCTAATTAGGACAGAACTTATTCAGAAGTATAATGAAAATGTAAATTCCCACACATTAATCAAACAATTATTTCTATAACCACAAGACAGCTGATCCTAAGCCTAATTAGGAAATAAACAAAGTTAATCAGTGAGCAGACAACATTTAATAATCATATATGTGTCACAAGAAGAGAAATATTAGGCAATGATTCATCAAAACATCCCAAAGCCCAACCATTCTATAATCTATAATAATACAGCCTCCCTGCTTCAATAATGCAGTATTCAAATTTTTATTAAAGGCTTTTTTCGCTTTAGGGTCTAGAAGGTACCAGAGAACAAAGAAATGTATTACCATGTATAATAAATAATTGTACCACTTAAAAATAAGTGCCAAGAACTGGAAATGTATGTATGTGACATGGTGGATACATACGGCACACTTTAAGTTTAATTATCAGAGTTTAGTTCTTTTCAGGTAAGATAGAGGGGGAATAGGAACTAATTCCAATGCAGACATAAAAATTATAGAAAGACATAAACTAAAGCCAGTTGTGTTTCTCTCTCCACTGCACATCTTTAGCTCGTTGTCAAAACTGCTGCCTGTACAATTTTGGGTCCAAATGTGGATTCTTCACCTCAACTTGCCTCAGCTGCCGATTGTCTCTTGGGGCTTTTACTGTCCTTAGTGGCTCTGGGAGGCTCTGCCTGACCATCGTATGGATCTAATCATGGCACAAACCCATTCGGCGGTTTCCAAAGGGATGTTTGCTTTTTCCTCGTGGAAGTAACAAATGCACAAAATGAAATTTGGGAGGCTGGTGGGGGAAGAATATCTAAAATGAAAATTTTCCTAAGAGGAACATGTATTTGGCCAAGATCAAACTGCACAGCAGAATGTAATAATAAAGGCCAAAACTCTGCTCCCTTCATAGAGCACCAAAGACAGCCCACTGGAGGCTTAGAAAGAGCACACTATGAGACATCCTGACCCAGGGAAGAGGAGACAGGCATCAGAGCCTGGGTGATACAGCCCCACCATTTCTGCACAGCCCTGGGCCTTGGCCATGCTGAGAGTCTGGCTGTGTTCTCTGTGAGTGACAGGAGGGACTTGCACCATCGCTGGCCAGAGGCAGGGTGCTCACAGTGGCTGTATCAGTGTGGATGGGGACAGGTCACATTCCTGAAATTTATTAGGCCAGCCATTGTCAGCTGCTCCACTGCCTCTCCATGCAAACTCAGCAGTGAAAGCTGCATGATTTCAGTAGTTGGGGGCTTCAAGTACATTGATCTTATCTCAATTGCTATAGCCAAATTGTCTTTTTATCCGCATCCGACCTACATAAGATAGAGAAAATATCCATCACTCATATCAATGAATAATATAATTTGAAGTGGGCCTTTGAGATCATTGCAGGGGGTATAAAGCCCATACCACCCCAGGCTGTGTCAGTAAGCCCCCACACCCAAAACGGTCTCTTTGTTTCATTTTCTCTCCCCAGAGCCTCAAATCCCTCCTATCTCACAGCTTTGCATTTTTATTATTACAAAGACACAGTTGGCTGAAGGATTGGATGAAGAATTTGGCTCTCCTCCCTGCTTTTTCCTGAACAGATCTCCTTAAGCTGCAGTTTGTGTTTATTTCCTGGCATTTTGGCCAGACAGGCAGAGCCCAGAGAGATGCACACGGGAGTGTTAGGGGTAAGGTCAAGTCCCACTCTCGAAGACACAAAGCAGCTCCATTGTTAAAGCAGCACTTGAAATAACATTTGCTTTTTCTAGTGTCAATCTATAATTTCTATTTATTATGGCAATTTCAAAGAATGCCAGTAAACAAATAGAAGTAAGTAAAAGTCACCCAGGCCCCCACACAGAGATTGTAACTCAACATTTTGGTAAATAACCTCATGATCTTTTTTTTTTCTATACCTGTAGTCATTTTTCATTATAAAAATGGCACGATCTTGTTCAAACTTTTGTGTCATTTTTTTCTGCTTGATGTATTGTGAGAATCATCTCATGCCTTGCAAATCAATTAACATTATTTTTAATGACTGTGTAATGGTTCATAGGATGGCTTTAGCCATCTCCTCTTGTTGGCTAGTTGCCTGCCCTCTGCCCTTATTATTATAAATCATACTACTGGCCAGACTTATAGTCTTTTCACAGACTTTCTATTCCCCCAGATATTTCTGAAGTTCCTCAAGGGTGATCACACCATACTTGATCTTTGTCATGCAAGAAAGAAGTCTACCTCTGACATCAAGGGCAACATCTCATCACTAGAGACCACATGATGTACCTAGGTTCTTCAATATGATAGATATGGAAGCCCGATGCCTTCTAGCATTCTTTTCTTGTTCAAGGCCTACCCTGACCTTGCCCTTGCCCTTTATTGGTCCATTCCCATATGGAAGCAAATCCCTATTTTAAATCTTCCATGGTACAAGAAAGACCTGGCCATTAAGTTTGTCAAGAAGTTGCTGGACATCCAGGAAGGATTTGCAATCAAGGGTGCAATTTATTTCTGCTGTTAGAGGTGGCTTGTCTCAGAACCCCAGGCTCCAAGCCTACCCTAGAGGCCTTTATTGGCTATCCCTTGCCTGGCTGCAGTCCTGCCTCCAAGAGCCAGAGGCAGCTGACCCCGCCCCACCAGGGATGCCCTGGAGCACACCTGCACTCCTGGGGTCC
This sequence comes from Homo sapiens, assembly GCF_000001405.40. Lineage (NCBI taxonomy): Eukaryota > Metazoa > Chordata > Mammalia > Primates > Hominidae > Homo > Homo sapiens. The sequence continues at coordinate 108,042,378 of NC_000012.12, read as the reverse complement.
AGACCCCCTTGTCTAAAGTGCCACCTTCACTGTCCTCCTTATCCCTAATTTAACAGTGGGAATTGTAGAAACAAACAAAAGACACCCAAAAGAGAAAAGTAAACCTGTTTATTCATAGCTTGCTATAGCAAGAGAGTCAACCACCATTACATGCATTTGGCAAAGGAGTGGGAAATCTTTATGGGGAAAACATGAAAAGTAGCAGGTGTGCCCTGATTGGAGGCTGTTGGCATGGGGAAGCTGTAGGTGAGCTAACTAAAAGTAGGCATCCTACGGAATATAGTTTAGATATTTGTCCCTTCCAAATCTCATGTTGAAATTTGAACCCCAAGGTTGGAGGTGAGGCCCAAGGGATGTGTTTGGATCATGGGACTTGGTGCTGTCCTCACGGTAATGAGTGAGTTCTCACTCTGTTAGTTCCCACCATATGTAATTGTTGAAAAGAGCCTGGCACTTCCTCTCCTCTCTCTCTTCCTTCCTCCCTTGCCACATGATGCTGGCTCCCCTTTACCTTTCACAATAAGTGGAAGCTGACTGAAGCCCTCACCAGATGCAGATGCTGGCACCATGCTTCTTGTACAAACTGCAGAACTGTGAGTCAAACAAACTCATTTTCTTTATAAATTTTCTTTATAAATTATCCAGCCTTGGGTGTTCCTTTGTAGCAACAAAAAATGGAATAAGACACTATGGGAGTGGTTAGCAGAGCTCATTTTCCTTTCCTGGTTGGTCCTAAATTGGAAGTGGGGGTGAAAATTAGGGAACCTGGCAGTTATTGATCAAGTCCTTGCTGTTTAAGGCTAATTGCTGCAGAGATTGTGGTTTGGCTTCCTGGGTTGCTTGCTGCAGAAGTTGTAGGTCAGAGTTCTATTTTTATACATGATCTGGCCACTGTCCATTTGTATGTTCAGTCCCAGAGTGGTCAACTTCCTTTATGAGAAGCTTCATCAATACCAGTGGGGTGAGTTGGCACATAAGAATAAAATCTGCCAGCATCAGCACCTTTCCTGAAGCCTGACTTACTTAGTCTTCAATAGCACTGTCAAAAAAAACATTTCCACTTATATCAGTGCTTGCTTAGAGATACCCAAACTGACTATTGTGTTTCATCACAAATTGTAACTAACTGAAGCTGATAAAAGACCACAAACTCTTGATGACCCTGCATGCCAGCCCTCACTGGAAGTAACTGAAGACTCTTTCCTGACCAGTGGATCTGTGTGCAGACTGATGAGCTCATTCTTCCTGTCCACAGGACTAGCTTTCAACGCCTCATTACGATAGTGCCATGAAAATCCCTTTTTAGCACTTAAAACTCCTGACTTCATCCCCTCTGTGAATGACCTGCTCAGTGAAATTTCTCACTGGCATTCTTTTGCTTGACAACTTAATAGACTCAGTTTTGTATTTTTTTTTTCAGCTTATGTGGTATGTGTGTATTTTTTTACTATACCATATCTATGACCTCAACTGCAGAGTCCACATTTTGGGATCCCTCAACTTGGACCACATACTTTTTAAGCTGGACTTTCCCGTCTTTCCTGCAGCCACCGGGGCTTCAGATCCAGCTCCCCATCAGCTACGCTCTGTCACCAGTATGCAGCGAGCCTTGAAGACAAGCAGTGGGATCCAGGCCTCCTGCACGATGCCACCCAAATCCATACCGGAAAAAAAGAAATATACTCCCACTCACCCCAATCAAAACAAAGTCTCCAGAGAATTAGGAGGAGCTTGGCTTAACCATTTGCATTTAAGATAGCTGATAATTCACAGCTTTCCTTGAAACAATTGACACCCACTTGCTTTGTACTTAGTATAGCTAAAGGACCTGTTCAGGTGGTTTTTCTAGAACAAAGGAATGGTTGGTCCCAAAGGGTGTCTAAATCCCAACCACTTGCCAGGCAGAAATCTGCTTCCAGCTTTAAAATGGGAGTTTTTCAGCCGCTGCTAGTCCAAGTGAATTTTTTATACCTTTTGTGAGTATCTGTTATATCATGAAAACAGAAAGGTGCAATTCACCACTTCTTGATGATAGATTTTCCTAGTGCGCTTTCAATGGGTTTTAATCGGCCTAGAACAAAGAAAATTGTACATTATATAAGATTGTAAACTTCATGAGATCCGTATTTTTTTTCATTAAACTCACACAGAATAATTTTTTCCCAGGACCTTGATAATAGTAGATACCCAATAAATATGTTTTGAATGAGAAAATGCATCAATTTATCAGGAGTGTTACAGGTTAAGAGAAAGATTTGGGAACCAGGTACTCAAGAACTCCTGAGGCCTACATGCATTTGTGAGAGGAAAAAGGAGCTGAGGAAAGGCAAGGGAAAGGAAAAGGGGAAAGGAAGGAGAAGGGAAAGGAGAGTAGGAGAGACAAGAAAAGACAAAGAAAGGAAGGATGGAAGGAGAGTGAGAGGAAAGGAGAGAGAGGGAGGGAGAGAGACATGGAGATAGGCAGATGATAGACAGATGGATAGATAGATAAGACAGATTACATGGACGGATAGATAAGATAGATTGGCCGGGCGCAATGGCTCACACCTGTAATCCCAGCACTCTGTGAGGCCGAGGTGGGCAGATCACTTGAGGTCAGGAGTTTGAGACTAGCCTGGCCAACATGCTGAAACCTCACCTCTACTAAAAATACAAAAATTAGCCAGGCATGGTGGCATACACTTGTAATCCCGGGTACTTGGGAGGCTGAGGTGGAAGGATCGCTTGAACCCAGGATGTGGAGGTTGCAGAGAGCTGAGATCGAGCCATTGCACTCCAGTCTGGGCAACAGAACGAGACTCCATCTCAAAAAAAAAAAAAAAGATAGATTAGATGGATAGATGAGAACATGATTAGATAGATAAATAGATTACATAGATAAGATAGATGATAGATAGATAGATAGATAGATCTTCAAAGTAAGTCCTCATCTAACTTATTGACAAGCTGAATATTCAGAGAGCATAGACTAAAGGGAGATGGACTCAAGCATGAAGACGAAGAGAAAGGTGGGATCTGGGGTCCTGTCTTTAAGGACCAGTAATCACACCCACCAATAACATGCAGTCTAGTCAGTATCCCAGGCATTGACTAATCAGTTTAGCAACTCCTTCTTTGGTGTGAAAGAGGCTGTCAGGGGCTGAAATGTGGGGAAATATCCCTATTTACACACTTTCTTCCTATAGTGTATCATAAAACAAGTGCTCAAAGGGAATGTGAACCCCATCATGTTCCTGAGGTATGACAGTGGAACATGCTGGGGAATGTAGAGTATTACTATTGCAATGTCATTATCATGGGTCTCGTTTTAGCGAGAAGGGGGTTTCCTCCCATCCTCTGAGATAGAAGTAGCAAAGTGTGATGTGTTATGGAGGCAGACTTGGGTTTGTATGTCTATCACACATTTATAAGCTGTGTGATGTTGATATGTTAGTTCACCTCATTTTCCTCATCTGTAAAATAATGATAATAACAGGACCCAACTCATTGAGTAATGAGGAGCAGCAGAGAGAAGGGCTTTATGCAAGCTAGTTCTCTGCCTCCTTTCTCAACTTAGAGGGCACTGAGACTCCATACTAGCTACAGAGGAAGAGCTCAAAAATGTCAGTGGTGGTGGTGGCTGCAAGTTAATCTCTGGGCAAGAAGAGATCTTGTGAAAGAAGCATTTTGGAAAGGCCCCTTCCCCATCCCTACCTGTGTTATACATTTGACAATTCAATCCACAAATATTTGTTGAGCACCTGCTATGCATTGAGAACTGTGCTAAGCACAGGGGACACAACTAGATGATTTTGTGTTTTTGCAGCTTCATATGTAGATATATCTATATATGAAATTATATATATATTTTTATATAATATATATTATATATATTTTTATATAATATATATATTATATATATATTATATAACTAATATATATTATATATATATATATATATATATATTTTCACTCCCCACAATGAATGTTCATTGCTATAACTTCTGGTCAGATTCCACCTCCAGGCCAGGGTGCTGCTCCCCGCAGACCACCTGTTGGAGACACAGGCTTCACTGTGCCTCAGTCTCCAAAGTGGAAGCCTTTCTCACAGTGCCCAGGGCTCTGTGATCCTCAGATATCCCCAGCCCCTCCTTGAGTCTAGCTGTTTATCTAACCTCATTATCATATATCTTAGGGTAACAAGATTCTCCTGTTCAACAACCATGATGCAATAATTCCCTTCGTTGGTCCTGGAATGTCGTCTTTTAGAAGCAAGATCTAAGTCTCATCTTTTAGGAGCAAGATCTAAGTCTCATCTGTGCCCTCTTCTGCATCAAGCGTGTGTGTGGTCAACAAAGGTTGATGGGGCACCTTCGATGTCCACAGGGATGGCCACCACAGGCTCTGCCTTCTAGGAGATCACAGGACATGGGGGCAGGGAAACAATAGCAGGGTGTGACCAGTGCTATAGTCAGTATATATAAGGGGCTGTGGGGTGCAGACTGGGTAGGGGCAATGTAACCTGTGGGCCAGAGAACTCACCTACCCCAAGGCATATTGACACAGAGAAGTAGCACTTTCCTGACATTCAACAGTGACAATAAATGATTTGGATTATATTTCTGCTTCCCATATTCCTTGGTTTTACAGCTTCTGGTCATCCCTTTGCTCAGCCTTCATCTTTCCAGATGGTTGCATTCTAACCATGTTTTGTGGAGGATGAAGGGACTTCATTTGGCCTTTGCAAATCAGTCTGATTTAATTTCTTGGTGTTTCCTAATGCAGTAGGATTTTTTTTTTAACAGTGTGAGGGTTGAGATCTGTTCAATACATCCACTTTGTCAGCGGATTGTGTTCAAGCTGTTCTTTCCCTGTGGAGCTCCGTTTCAAGAGTAGGGGATATCCAGGGAGGTGTTAGATTCTGTGCAATTAATGTGCCTCACTCTAGCTATCAAGAAGATTCCAGTATGGGATTTGGGTGATGTTGGCACATGCTGGCTGCGCTTTGTGTCCAGCCTTAACAAATTTCAGTTTAAGAGGTCACCTTTCAGTCATTCCACTAGCTTTGCCCCATTTAGCGCAGAGCAAATCTACAGAAATATGAGCTGTTAAAAAGACCATATTTTCCAAATCTAAGATGCCATAGGTTGTAAGACACACTGTTATTGCATGAACCACTGGTAAAAAGAAAATGATATCAATTATTCTGACACAACACTTTCAGTCAGTTCATGGCAAGAAACATCCTGATATCAGAGTTGTTAAAATGTGGAGGAAAATATGCATCTTAGCATCGATAACTGCAGTATAGAGATATCTCTGTCTTTCTCTTTCTCAATTACACTCTCATTGGGACAATTCTGTGCCTCTGATGAGCAGCCCTTCCCACACACCTCTCCATCCACAGAGCACAGATCTGAACAAAACCCCCATAACCTTCTCACTTTAGAGAGAGCCAAGGTCTCCCGGGCAAGGTGAGATGGTGGCCTTTCCCTCACTGAGGCTGAAGCAGGCAAAATGGAATGGATGTACCTTCTCTTCTGGCCCAGGTTGGTGTAATCCTCCAGCCATCCAGCATGTGTGTTTACGTACCTGACTGGTTGACTGTGCTTTTGATATTCATCCTACAGGGTTCAGACTCACAGAAGTGAGAAAAAAAATCAAGCTTTATAAGACACTCAGAACCTGACTCCACTCTCTGTAATCCTTGGCAACTGCCTAGAACCTGGATTTGAACCTCCCTGGAAAGCCATGATTCATGTCTTATTTCTCAACATTTGATCTCCACCTCCCAGAAACTGAGGCTTTTCTAGCGGGAACTCAAAATGTATGGGCATTTCAGAACCGTGTCCTCCTTCTATCCAGAAGCAGCACTTGGAAAGCTAGGTCAGGCTCACCAGCAAGGAGACATGAGTTGAGGCATTCAAGCCCCCAAGTCTGAATGAGCCATGAGTAAAATCCAAAAGCAATGGGTGCAATTGAGTAATGAGTGCCACCCACCAAAAAAAAAAAGAAAGAAAGAAAGAAAGAAAGAAAGAAAATTATTAACTATTATTTGTTGAAAATATATTTACTATGTGCCAGGTTATTTTCAAAATGCTTTATAGGTATTATCCCATCTGAATTTCACAGCCCTTTGAGGTTGGTCATCATAACTCCCATTTTGCAGATGAGGAATCTGAGGCTCAAAGTCACAAATCTATAAAGAGTTGGAATAAGGATATGAAACCAGGAAGCGTTGACTCTTAAACCCCAGGGAAAGGAGAGTGATGTGAAAAGAGGCACCAGAACTGTCTACTCAAGTCCAGTGTGGCTGGCTGTCTGTGGGACACACTTCATGCTTAGTAGCAGACATGAGTTTTACAAGGGTTCCAAGCATTTGCGTCTGGAAGCCGGTAAAGTTCTCCTTCTACCACCTAAGCATTTATTTCTCATTCACACATCTTCAGTTTGGTTGGGGTTTGGCTGATCTAGGCTGGGGTCAGCTGGGTTGGGCTCAGGACAGGCCAGATCTACATCTGCTCCACAGGTCTCTCACCCTCCTTAGACCAGCAACCTGACCCTTGAGAGGCATGTTCTACTCATGCCAAAGGCAGGAGCAAGAGACGGCAAGCCCAACTGCACAAATACACATCAAGCTTCCATTTGCATCATGTCCTGTTACTTGCTGTTGGCCAAAGCAAGTCACATGGCCAAGCCCAAGTCAAGAGGTGGGAAGTACACTTCTCCCCTGATGATGAGGGACAAAGTGGATATTTGGTGAACAATGATCTAACATTCCACATCTTCCTCATGGGATTTCTTCCTCCTCCTGTCTTCTGTGTGCTTTGTGCTGATGTGGCTGTTTATAAGGCAGAAATCATTTCCCTGACACAGGTTAGATCAGAGCTCCCAATTATTGGTGCATTGTCTCATTTTTCACTCCGTACCTTTGGTCTGTCATCTCCAGATATAAGCTAAGTTCCTCCTTTGCTGCTATACCTCTACCTTGCCCCTCAACATCTGAATGGGAAGCCCCTCTTTTAAGAAGCCCTCATTCCTGGGAAAGCAATGCCCTCTCTGGGCTGCTCACCAAGTGTAGTCACCTGAGGACCAGGTGCCAGTCACCACCCCTGCCATATGACTGCATGGCCTCTCATACCTCAAGCCTGTTGTCCAAGGACCCCTTTGATCTGGTCTCTTTCTCTCTGGCTTGTGCTCTGAGACAATCTCAAGATGAGACATTGATTGTTCACTGGACGTCAACTTTCTGGCTTAAAAAATTTATCCTTTTTAATTGGCTGCTCTCTGCGGGAAGCTTTGCCTTCTCTCAAGCCCTCTTATGTGCCTCTCTCTGGCTAACCCTGTAGTGCCATGACTTTGAGAAACCCATCAGTTGCCTGATCTGCAAGCCCATTCACTTTCTTCAAGCAGCTTCTTTATCTTTCTGCTTTAGTTTTCTTCTCTCTTGAGCTTAGTGCAGATATCCAGGTCACTGGGCCATTACACAGGCCCTCTTACCAATTTTTACTGGGGAAATATCAGTGTACCCCAAAATCGCCCCCAGGCATGGCACCACCCCTAAATGGCTCCACTGGGCACAGCAACCACCAGGCATTATTTCTTCTTCCACAGGGACCATCATCTCTTCCACTGAAACATTCCGATATCCCGAACTTTCTTCGTGCTGATGTTGCCCATTGGCCTAGGCTGAAGAGGAGGATATGAATGGATTTCTCCCCTGTGTATGACACCCATTTCGGAGAGGTTTCAGTGCTGCTGCTTGGGCATCAAGGTGCTACAGAGCTTCAAGAAGCTGCTCCTCTTGGGCTGACCTGGCTTGGGGCTAGATCTGGGCAACAGTCACCATGACATACTCAGGATCCTCACTCTCCCACAACTTGGGCTCTGCTGTCAGAGTAGTCTCATCATGTTAAGCCATCTCTTCCCTCAGGGTGAATTCTCTCCCTGAAGGTTCCCGCTGAGACTTCCTGAGTGACAGCAGGGGTCATACACTAGAGATCCCTGCTTGTCAATCAAATTAAAGTCCACATCAATATGAAATAATTTTGTTTATAGGAAAATACGTCAAGTCAATTCAAAGCATGACCAAGGTGAAGAGATGTCAAGGAATTTGACCCAGAATGAGAAACACTTTTGCCCAGTCAGACTCCTGGCATATCCCCAATGACCCTGAAAAGCTGACCTTTAAATGCCTTGTGATTAAGTTTCCATCTGAATTTAACATCTTTCTAACTACTGAGAGGCAGAAAGGTCCCTGGTCCAAGCAGCAGAAAGACAGGGGAATAATCAGCATCATTATTAATATGCTGTATGTAATTTCAACAGAAAATTGTCAGGAATCGGGGGTAAGGAAGGAGGAAGACACACAAACAAAAGTGCCCACATCCTTTGCAAGTGGCTGTGGTTGGTTAAGTCCCTGGTTTGAAAATGTCACAAGCACACCCCTCTCTATGCAACCAACTATTTTCCTACCTGCAGGAGCCGGTGAGTGCATTAACAGGAAACTGATGTGACTGGCACAAAATGAATATCCCATCTGGGACAAGAGCAAAAACTGCAATTCAACCACACCAGATGAACTCCGGACTGAGATCCATTGACTTTTCATTCACCACTATATTCAGATACAGGACACTCCAGCTCCATCTGGTTGCTGAGCCATAGATACTATTTTCTGCCAACTGACCAGAAGTCCAGTGGGAAGGCATGGAATTCCAGATGGAGAACTCAGACAATGGGCAAACAGTGCCCTTCCCAGAGCCCTGGGAATCAGGGACATCCAAGGGAACCACTCCCAATAGGATGCAAGACTCCATGATTAGACAGAATTTACAGGAAACCATGGGTCAGTCTCCTGAGCCAGTATTTCTCAAAGGGCAGTGGTCATCCCTAGCTGTCTGGGGGTGGGGGCAGGGCATGAAATAACATTTCAAGAAAGCCACCCCCTATGGGATCTTAAAGAGTAGTAAGAAAATCATTCCCTTTTCAATTTCCTTTAATCCTTCTGATTAGGTCTTTAACCCCTCACACTTGCTAATCTGTCCTGATTTAACCAAGAGCATCAGGCCCCAGGGAAGACCCTTGGGCAGGCAACAGTCTCCAGCCAGAATTCACTAACTCTTTTGTTTTCCTCTTGTTTGTTTCTATGGCAACCTTCCATTCACAGCAAGGGATGCAGGTTTTCCGCTGAAGGTATTGATAATGTCGTTTTCTTTTTAAATAATTGTATGTAAGTATTCAAAAGGTGAATCACCTCAGAAAAAATGCTGACTAGTAAAGGTTCAGGTGATGCATGGATATGGCAAAAATTGTAAAATCATTAAAAGACTCTGACCTAGGCCAGTCCCTCATTTTAAAGACCTGAACCCATATGGTCGACATGCTCCATCCCCTTACTTTTGTCTTTCTGCAAAAATATATGGAGCGTTCTCTGTGTGCTAAGAATGATGCCAGGCATGAGGATGTAATGAGAGTGTATGTGGTCCCTGCCCTCAGGGGGTGGGTTAATGAGAGAAATGAAGGAGTAACAGGCAGTTGGTGAGAGAAAATTCCCAGGAAATGTGGAGAAGAGGAGTCTATTTTGGGACCAGGCCTGGTGGCTCACTCCTGCAATCCCAGTACTTTGGGAGGCTGAGACAGGAGGATCACTTACGGCTGGGAGTTCAAGACCAGCCATGGCAGCTTAGCGAGACCCCGTCTCTACAAAAAATAAAAAATGAAAAAATTAGCTGAGTATGGTGGTGTGCAACTGTAGTCCTGGCTACTCAGAAGGCTGAGGTAGGAGGATGGCTTGAGCCCAGGAGGTAGAGGCTGTAGTGAGCTCTGATCATGTACTGCACTCCAGCCTGGGAGACAGAGGGAGGTCCTGTCTCAAAAATAAATAATAATAATAAATAAATAAATAAATAAATAAATAATGTGTGTGTGCTCAACTTGTTGAAATTTTTATTAGAGTAATACACATACAAGGTAAACAAAATAGTGCAGAAAAGCTTATGATGAGACACTGTCATCTCCTCCCTCACCTCTAATCCTATTCCCAAAGGCTTTTAATTCTTGCAGTCATTACCTTCCCACCCCTAAACAACATGATTATACCTCAGTTTCTTAATTTATCAGCTTTATAATTATCTACTGACCCTTTGCCCTGAAAGTTGAAGATTTAGCTCACTCACTATCATCTCCATTGTCCTTATATCTGCCTGGGTCTCAACACCCCTTTGATCTGACCTTGGCTTATTCAACCTTCAGAACTTCCCATATTCCGCAGCAAAGGCACTTTCTCTTGGTCAGACTCACACTTCTGTACCTCCTCACCTCTTTTAGAATGCCCTCCTACCCCCAACTCTTCTCCTTCACATCCTGGGTCCTTCTCTTTTCTCGGAAGGCCTACAGCATTTTGTCCATTATCTGGCTGCATGCCTGACAAACCACCTCACAATGCAGGGTCTTAAAACAAGTGATCTGTTGTCTCTCACAATTTTCTGAGCTGACCTGGCTCACGAGGTCAGTCAGGGCTACTGTCATCTGGGAGTTCGACTGGGCTTAAATATCCAAGATGGTACACACACATCTTTGGTGCCTTGGCAAGGACAGTTGAGAGGCTGAGCCCAGCTGGCATGCTGGGGCAACAGGCCTTTCTCTCTTTGTGTACTTCCATGGTTTATTCCTTTCCATGTGGCCTCTTCAGCAGGATAGCCAGACATCTGATGCTGCAGCTCAGGGCTCCCAAAAACACAAAAATGGAGGTCGCAAGCCCTCTGCAAGCCTTATGCCTGGAAATGGCACAGCATCTCTTCTGCCATATGCTGTTGGTTAAAGCAAGTCCCAGGGCCAGACCAGATTCAAGGGGAGGGGACAGCACAAGGGTGTAAGTATTGGTAGGTCTGGTTCACTGGGAGCTGCTAATATTCAGACATCCACTGTGTTCTAGAGTCCGAACCGCTCATTTTACCACAGAGTCAGAGACCTTTTTTGCAGTTTTTTGAGAAATATATTTCATTTATTTTATACATTCCTTTAATCAACACACATCAGCTCAGGCCCACTTCTGGTGAACCAAGAAGTCATTCAGGCACGATCTAATAGACGTTTGTCAAGACCTAGGCTCTCAGCTTATTCTTTGTCTGGCCTCTCTGGGGCCAACTCAGCATCAGACACAGAGCAAGTGTCAGTCAGTGTCAGCCAAGGAGGGAAAGAGCTGGAAGAATCAAACAAGAGGGGCAGAGGCCTATAAATGTGGCTGGTGGCTTTCAGAGTTGATAAAGGAGATGGTCATAGTAGTCCAGTGATGGCAATAACAGTAACAATAGCTATAGTTCAACTGACACGACAGCCACTGCCCTCAGCATGTCATATACTATTTCTCATTTAGTCCTGGGAGGCAGGTATTAGGATACCCATTCTACAGAGGAGCAGCCTAGTTCAGAGAGGTGATTAGCTATCCTGAGGACACAGGGTTGCTAAATAAAAAAGACAGGATTCTAACTCAAACCTGTCTGGATCCAAAGGCTATACCTGTAACCACTCTAATATACAAAGGGGACTTCTGTGACCTTCAGACCCTACCTCTCCTTCCCAGGTTCCAACTGACCTGATTCCAACCTCTCACTCACTATTGCACTGGGTGTGAGAGACAAACACAAATTAAAAGCTCCTTCTCTGGAGTATCATAACCCTGTCCCATCTCCATCTCTTGCTTCTATCACTGTCTGTTTGCCTGTCTGTGAATCTGCCAGGACGCATGCTCCAAAGGGTAGGACCATGTCCACCAGCTAACAGCTCTATCCCTATCCCAGAAGAACCCAGCCAAGAAGCAAGATTCCCATGTTACAGATAATGACACAGCCACAGAAGCATTTCATATCCATGTCTGTTGAATGAGTGAGTGAGCATGCTCAGCTTGGCACTAGGCACCCTGGGGAATGAAAAATTAATATGACATCCCTCTCCTGCCTTTAAGGAACTTAAATTTTAGTGCAAAGCTCTATAGTAGTAAAAATGATAGAATCAAGGCCAAAAGGTTAGATGGGACTCCTGCTGTCAATGCTTACAGCTCTGTGGCCTTGAGCAGCGTCAGTTAACATGCTTCCATCTCCATGTCATCATCTGTAACTTGGGAATCATGCTTCCTGGCTGGGTTTTTGTGGGATCTAATAAGAGAACATATGGAAGCATTTAATAAAGGTTGGTGAGTGAACGAATGCATTAGTGAGTAAAAGAGTAAATGAGTGAGTGAATGAATAAACATATCTAGCATCTGTCTCCTCTGTGCCAGGCACTGAACAGAGACCAAGAAACTATAACAACAAGGGGCTAAGACCTTAAAACCTGAAGTCAGACTGAGTCTAAAGCCCAGCTTTGCTCATCTGCCATGTAATCCTCTCTAGGTCTCAGTTTCTTCATCTGTGAAGTAGAAACAAACAGAGCACCATCTGCCCAGCCTGCAGTAAGCATCCTCTATCAGTACAGATCCAGAGACAAGTAAATTCTGCACAGGGAAGTGGGGAGACAGCTCTGAGCCCCTGTTTTCCTTCCTAACAGGGTGCCAGTCTTCAGAGGCCATGAACACAGCCGTCTTGGCAGCTACTAATTCTGAACAGTCTCTAAGCGTAACTCAGACCCTGCAGAGACAATCTGCAAATGAGGCCTCTTGTAAATCATAGTTGACCACTCTCATCAGTCTGCTTGTGCAGCTTTCAGTTCCAATAAAGCCAGGCCCTGTTGCCTGACCTATTATGCTGTCCCCTCACCACGATTAGCCACCCTGGAAGGGAGATGGCGCCGGTGCTAATGTTGTGAGATCCGTGTCCCTGCTGTCTCTGTAAATGAGTTGTGAAGAACTCATAGGTCTCCACGCCTCTGTGATTCCACCCTCCGCCTTCCCTGTCCACTTAGGCTATTTGATTCATCTCTCTGATTTAATAAAAATAGCATCCTCCCTGCCTCCTGCCAAGGTCGGAGACAGGCAGGAGCCCTCCAAAATTTAAAATAGGCCAGCCCTTAATTAGTGAGCAACATCAATATCACTTTTCCCCCACGATTAGCATTTCAAAGTAAATTCCACATCTAGGGCTGTCAGCATCCAGGAGCCTGGTGGAGGGCTGTTACGGGTAGCAGAAAAAAATTGCACCATGGAGTGCCTGGGATTTCAGAAACTCAGCAACTTTGTGGAGGCCCCTTCCTCCCAGCTGCTGACTTCATGCCAAGGCCTCTGGCTGGTTCCATTTTTCCCTTTCTATCCACAGGGCTTCTCTGCACGCTCTGAGGCCTTGGTCAACAATGGATAGGAGACACCACTAAGAGTTGTAAACTGAGGGCCATGGGCTAATTCCCCCAGCAGATGTGCCCTTTTTCTGAACAGTAAATTGTATACAAAAATCTCCATCTCTGGCTGCACTTGAAAATTGCAAGATCTGGCTATACCAAGCCCACCTTTTCTCATGTAGCTGCATCGATACGAGCTGAGTAGCAGCTCTTCCTTTTAAACAGGCAGGAACTCTCCAGTTAGACACAGTCCCCACCATTCCCTACTATTGTGCCTGGCTCTCTCATTTTCTATAGGAATTGCCCCTGTACAAACTTGAATGTTTGTCCCTTGGTATAGGAGCTGAATTGGAGAAGGCAAGACTTGTTACAATAAGTGCTGGACATCTACAACCATCTGATCTCCGATAAACCTGACAAAAACAAGCGATGAGGAAAGGATTCCCTATTTAATAAATGGTGCTGGGAAAACTGGCTAGCCATATGCAGAAAACAGAAACTAGACCCCTTCCTTACACCTTATACAAAAATTAACTCAAGATGGATTAAAGACTTAAATGTAAAACCCAAAATCATAAAAACCCTAGAAGAAAACCTAGGCAATACCATTCAGGACATAGGCATGGACAAAGACGTAATGACTAAAATACCAAAAGCAAAGGCAACAAAAGCCAAAATTGACAAATGGCATCTAATCAAACTAAAGAGCTTCTGCACAGCAAAAAAAAAAAAAAAAAAAAAAAAAAAAACCAAAAAAAGCGATCATCAGAGTGAACAGGCAACCTACAGAATGGGAGTAAATATTTGCAATCTACCCATTTGACAAAGGTCTAATATTCAGAATCTACAAGAACTTAAAGAAATTTACAAGAAAAAAACAAACAACCCCATGAAAAAGTGGGCAAAGGATATGAAGAGACTCTTCTCAAAAGAAGACATTTGTGCGGCCAAGAAACATGAAGAAAAGCTTGTTAAAAAAGTAAGGAAATGCTGGTGGGGAGAAGAAAGACCTGTCGGAGAGTATAGGACTCACTCAAGCTGTCCCACTGCCCCACCCCACCTCTGCCTCCGTATCCCTCTAGGTCTAGTGCGAATAAAATGAGCTCTCATGAAAATCTCTGGGGTGAGGGTGGGGTGGAACGCACCCAGCTGAGTAGCAGGACAAATGGGTCCCTGCCTGGCTCTGTCATTAACCTGATGGATGACCATGGATGAGTTCCTCCATGCCTCAGTTTCCCCTTTTGTAAAGTGAGGCTGCTGTGCTGAGTTATTGACCTCTGCTACTTGTCACTTCTCCCAAGGAGGAGGCTGAGTAACCAGAGGCTTTCTGAGCTCTGAGGAAGGACTGAGTGACCCTCCTCAGTGGATTTAGACACCCCTCCTAGAATCTCCATCACCTGCCTGCATTTGTTGATGTAGATTCACATTTTCTGAATGTTAGGTCAAGGGCTTTGCCCACTGTGCCTCTCCAAGCCAATCCCTCCAGCAAATGGTTCCAGGCAAACTGCACCCCTAACCGCCCCCATAAGAAGAAATTCACTAACATTAACACTCATTCCCCTGCTGAGGGCTTGGACCTCTGTCTGCTCCCAATTCTTCCATTCCACCCACAACTCATGACTTTTCATTCAACACATGCTTATTAAATTTGTTTTAGGCACCTTTTATGTGCTAAGAAGTATGCAAGGTCTTACGGCTGTGTGTCAACGGCAGTGTAGAGAGAGTTCTGTCACTAACCCCCACTGCTCTCTGCCACCACCAGTCCCGATGGGCAGAGCAGCAAGTGGAGGTGACGATCATTTATTGAGTACTTGCTATGTGCCAGGCATTTGACTTGTTCATTCTTCCACTGACTTTTCACAAGACTGCATAGATTCTATTATCATCCCCATTATGCAAATGAGGAAAGTAAGGCTCAGATAGGTGAAGCCTCTTCACTGAAAGTCACCCAGCTAAAAACAGTAGAAGGTGAATCTACCCAGTCCCAATTCCCTTGCTCTTGAGTATAAAACCACACTGGCTCCTATTACAGTAATAAATAAATAAATAAATAAATAAATAAATAAATAAATTTTTAAAAATCAGAATTGTGTAAGTTCATTTTTTCTCTCTGGTCCTACTGCACTTGGCACATAAGAACATTTATCACATTGGTCAGCAACTATTTATAAATCAACTTAAACTCCTGAAGAGTAAAGGTGGACACTTTTTCATCTCTGCATTCCTAGTATACAGTAGGTGCTCAAAACAAATTAAATGAATTGAATTGAACTGAATCTAATTGACTAGAGTCAATGGAATCAAATGGAATTTAATGGAACAAAATTAAATTAAACTGAATTGAACTCTGGCCACTAGGTAGATGGAGACTGAGATTACGGGTCAGAGAAACCACACAAAATGCTTTAACCCCTTGCATATTGGACCTGTATTAGAATGCTTTTGAGTCGCAAATGATAGAGACCCAACACAAACTAGCTTCCACAAAAATTAGAATATACTGGTTCATGACATAGGAAATCTCAAAGTAAGTTTGGGATTCAGATATAGCTGGATCCAGGAGTTCAAATTAGACTGTGTCAAGGAACTCTGTCTCTTGACCTTTCTTCTGTGTTTGGCTCGCATGATGTAATGGAAAACATAGCCATTGGCAACCGTGGAGTCACATGGTCCTGAAAAGACACGTCAGTAGGAGAATCATCTTTTCTAAGAGCTTCTGTAGAAAAATCCTAGAGAGAGCTCTGATTGCTGGCTTGGTTCATGATTGCACCATTGACCCAATCACTGTAGCCTGAAGAAGGAGATATTCTGATTAACTACACGTGGCTTCATGCCCACATTTGTGGCTGGCAAGAGGAAGCCAAGCTGCTTAAAATGGGCTCACCCCAGGGAAGAGGGGTTTGCACTCCAGGAGAAGAGGGCTGGGAAGTTTCCAGCAGGAACACATCTCAAATCTCCACACTGAAGACTTTCCCCAGACAGGTGTGGGTGAGCTCACTAAAAGCCCCTTTCCAGTAGTCACTTGAAATATAAACTCCACGTTTTCCTAGAGCTTGCCCAGTCAATCTGTCTTTGGCCACTTCCCTCCATCCAGGAATGTCAATACCTTGTTAAATTGATTCTGAATAGAGACAAGATTGTGGAGCATCTCCCTCCCAAAGCAGGTGCCAAAGGAACTTGATTTTTTTTCATTCATCTAGAGGCCAGAACCAGGAAATTGCTTCCGATCCAATTCTCAGAGCTCAGAGCAACTGCCTGGGGTATAGCTCTTTCTGCCTCTCTGAAAGCCAATGATCATGGTGGGACAACTGACTCTGAATATTTTCAGAATTCTTTTCCTAGTTCAGAAACATCATCCTGAAGACTTTCACAGTCAGAGAGGATTCCTGATGCTCTCATACACACTTATGGGGCTGCCAGTGGCATGTATTTTCTGGAAGGGACTTTGCCCAAAAATAACAAAGCTTTAAGATGTGTGATGGAGGGAAAAAAATCTTAACATTTGGCTGTTAACCTCTTCTTACTGTCCTCTACCTGCTAAAGACAGTTTGGTGGTTGCCCCTTTAACATTTCCCCTTCTTCTCCCAACAGAGAGAATTCTTAACCTTCTGGGTTCCTGAGTTTTTATGATACAATATTTGGTATAGAAATAACTAGGTAATAGAAGACAGGGAATTCTCATTTTTATAAGATGAAAAAAATACAGGTGGAAGGAAATGGAAAGGAGAAGCAAAGGCAAGATACTAAGACAGTTGGGTGTCAGAAAAAGCAGTCATTCAGAAAGAAGTATCAAGAAAATGACAAAGATGCCCTGGTGCTGTTGCTTATGCCTGTAATTCCAGCACTTTGGGAGGCCAAGGCAGGCTGATTGCTTGAGGCCAGGAATTCGAGATAAGCCTGGGCAACACGAAACCCCATTTTTACAAAAAATATAAAAATTAGCCAGGCATGGTGGCATGCACCTGTAGTCCCAGCTATTCAGGAGGTGGGAGGATTACTTGAGCCCAGGTGTTTGAGATGAGCCTAGGCAATATGGCAAGACCCTGTTTCTAAAAAAATAGAAAAATTAGCCAGGGGTGGTGGTATGTGCCTGTAGTCCCAGCTACTCAGGAAGCTGAGGCTAAGAGGATTGCTTGCGCCCAGGAGTTCAAGGCTGCAGTGAGCCGTGATCACACCACTGCACTCCAGCCTGGGCAGCAAAATAAGACCCTGTCTGCTAAAAAGACAAAGATGTGAGAAAACAGGAATACGGAAAGATGATTTTTTAAATGTTTGCTAAGGATTACAAAGTTGCATTTGATGTCCCTTGAGAGGCTTTAGTAAAGATCTGTATTGCTTTCAAGATAAATGGGTGGATAGATAGACAGATAGATAACAGTATCATGCCTTCATTCCCCTTGTCTCTATTTATTTGACCATTAGATCAAATATTTAGGGTTTTTTTCCCCCACTTATTGGTCTTAGAAACAACACTGTGGTGAACATCTTTGTAACTAAATCTCTGTACACATTCAAGATGATTTCCTTAGGATTAATCACTGGGTCCACAGTTTACATATGTAACCCATATAAAAGCCAAGGCCCAAAGGTCTCAGTCCCAGTATTTTCTAAGAATTTAACTTTATGAAATCTATTTAAGTTCCCTGAGCCTCCATTTTATCTGTCAAATGGGGCTGATAATTCCTACTTCACAGGTCTTCGTGAGAATCAAATAACGTAACATGTAAAATTGCTTTGATGAGTTGGAGCAAGATCTGTAGACCCAAGGCTTGGTCTTGGCAGCATTTTCCCATCAATATATGTGTGGTAGGACATGACTCACTGGGTTTTCTCTAAGCATCATAGGAAATGCCATCCAGGCAGAAGGAGAGGGTTTGTCTACCTATTCTTCCCACCCTCTCATCAAGGGTAAGGGTAGCAGAAAAAATACCAGTTACCACTAAAAGCTGGAAACCTAAAGGAAACCACTTAAAGAAAATACCAGAAACCACTAAAAGCTGGTAATATGAGTAGATTTGATAGGGTTGCCTGGCTTTTGAACATGAGGGCAAAACAATACATATACTCTATCTACCTATCATCTATATCTATCTATGTATCTATGTATCTGTGTATCTATGTATCTATCTATGTATCTATCTATCTATCTATCTATCTATCTACCTATCTATCTATCATCTATCTATCTATCTCTATCGCTATCATCTCCCCAAGCCCCTCTAATTTTTTAATAAAGACAGATGTTATGTATTGGCTAGCTATTATGTGACAGGCACTAGGATGAGCACTTTCCATCCAAAACTTCATTTGGTCTTCCCAAAACTTCTGTGGAGTAGGTATGTTTACTATACCCATTTAACAGGTAAGGAAACTGAGGCTTAGAGAGATGCAGTGACCTACCCTAGATAAAACAGCTAGAAAGAGGTGGAGCTAAGACTTGAACCCAGGTCTGTCTGACAATTTCTCTAAGAACTTAGTCATTCAAGAGTCTTCCATCTCAGTAACAGCTTCACCTTCTACTCAATGGCTCAAGCTAAAGCTTGAGATTTATCTTTGTTCCTCTGGTTCTCTCAATCCTAGATCTAATTAGGCATTAAATTCTATCAGCAACAATCCCAAGACATATTATAAATCTATCCACTTCTCTCCATGTCCACTTATACCATGCTAGTCCAAGCCATCATTATCTCTTACCAGAGTAACTGGCTTTCACTCCTTTGCCTTATACTCCAGTCCACTCTCATCGGACAGAAATAGAAACACAAATAAAAGTGCATTCCTTTCCTACTTAGTCTTGGATTAAGTTTCAAATCACAATGAAAAGTCCAGTCTTTCTCATGGCTTACATGAACCTGTGTGCTCTGGCCCCTGCCACCCCTCCTCATGCCCCACCATCCTTGCTGTCACCCCCTGGGATTCAGCCACGCCAGCCTTGTGTCCCTTCTGCAGGTTCACTCAGACCTTTGGAATCTTTGCCCTTGTTGTTCCCTCTGCATAGCCCACCTTTCCCTCAGATATTTGCCTGGTTTGCTTCATCAATTTATTCGAATCTGTGTTGAAGTATCCCTTTTTCAGAGAGGTCTTTCCTGACCATCTTCTCTAGATTGAAAGCTTTTCCCCACTCCTTGAGAGATGTAGGAAGAGTAAAAGGAGCTAGGAGTTTCTGAATTTCATTATAAGCCTTTGTATGCTATTTTAATTTTTAAACTATGTTCATGAATTATCTTAATGAAAACAAAAATTACAGGCCAGGCACGGTGGCTCACGCCTGTAATCCCAGCACTTTGGGAGGCCGAGGTGGGTGAATCACAAGGTCAAGAGGTCGAGATCATCCTGGCCAACATGGTGAAACCCTGTCTCTACTAAAAATACAAAAATTAGCTGGGCATGGTGGTGCATGCCTGTAGTCTCAGCTACTCAGGAGGCTGAGGCAGAAGAATTGCTTGAACCCAGGAAGTGGAGGTTGCAGTGAGCCGAGATCAGGCCACTGCACTCCAGCCTGGTGACAGAGTGAGACTCCATCTCAAAAAAAAAACACCAAAAAACAAAACAAAACAAAAAAAACATTACAAATGGATGGGTAGATGAATGAATGGATGATGGAAGGATGGATGGATGGATGGATAGATGGATGGATAAATGCATGGATTGACGCATGGATAATAGATGGATGATGATGGATGGGTAGATGATGGATGAATTAAAGAAAGAATGGGTAAGCAGATGGGAAATGGATGAGTGAGTGGATGATGGGCAGATGGATGGATGGATGTGTGTATGATGGGTAGATGAGTGAATGACAGATGGATGGTTGGATGGATGGATAATTGGATGCATGCATGGATGATGGATGAATGGATGGATGAGTGGATGATGGATGATGGAAGAAAGAATGGATAAGTGAATGGGAAAATGGATGAATTGATGGATGAGTGAGCAGATTCTGGGTGGATGGATGGATGGATGGATGGATGGGTGGGTGCATGACTGATGGGTAGATAGTGGATGGATGAGTAGATGATGGATGAATGAGTGGATGATGGATGGATGGATGGATGGCTGCATGCATGGATGATGGGTGGATGGATGGATGGATGTATGGATGGATGGACGAGTTGATGATGAATGATGAGAGAAGGAATGAATAAGTGGGTGGGAGAATGGATGGAATGATGGATGAGTGAGTGGATGATGGGCGGATGGGCAGATTGTTGGAAGGAGGGAGGGACTCCACAGACCAAGTTCTTAGCCACCTCCCTGACCACCATAATGCTTTCTTGTTTTCTTGCTTTCTCATTGTCTGTTGAATCTAACCCCTTCTACCACCCTCCCTGTGCTCTGAAGGTTGACTAAGCAGATGAGCTCAGACAAGAGGCTTGTTCTCTGCCCCTGCCCTCACTTGCTCTTCTGGGTTTTGGGATCTGGTCACACTCTCTGGAATCATGGGCCACTCTACCCTAACCCCCTCACCCCAAGAGTCCACTCAGGGCTGCTTAGAAACCCCTTCTTTTCCAGCTCCTGTCCTATGAAGAATAGTCCCCAAGTGTTGGGCCAGTGCCTCTCCCACTGAGCCTGCTCCCATGGGAAACTCTAGATTCAGAGACAGTGGATGAAGGAGCAGGAGGAGGAAGGTAGTGAAATTGATTATGCTTTTGAGAGCCAGTGATGGCTGGGCTGCTGCTGGAGATGGCAATCCTTTCCCACCTTCTAGGTTCCAAGCATTTATCTGAGAATATTTGCTTTGGCATTGGCAGAAAGCTGGCAGGATGGGAGCAGTTTAGAAGGCTGCCAGAGGGCAGGGCCAACAGGCAGCTGCTTTCCAAGTGAGTCTTTCTTCTCTTTGCCAGCCCTGAGTCTGCTAGTGATGGAGGTTTCTCTTTCTCTCTCTCCATGTGTTTCTCTACTCTCTGTTCTCTCTCTCTCTCTCGACTGTTCCCAGTCATCTTTCCACCTCTCTCCTCTCACACTCTCTTCAGCAAGGTTGTGCAAGGTGGCCTAATAGTCTGAGGGGCCTCCAGATGAGGGACAACTTCTGCCCCCAGCATCTTGTGGAGACCACATGGCTGAAGTGTCCACAAATGGACCTTAATGATTCAGAGATCATAAACATGAATGGATTCAGAGGTCTGCGACTCCCACCCATCCTCTGTATGTGTACTTTTCTGGGCAAAGTTTCACCACATTTATCAAATTATCAAAGCGGTTGTGTAAGAATTCTGGAGTCAGTTTCTAACAGATCCTTGATGAATTAATAAATGACTTGAGATAAGCCTTCCCATACCCAACCAAGCCTCAATTTCCTCTTCCTTAAAATGAGTAACTTGGACCACATTAATGACTTTCAGACTATACTCTTCAGAGTCGCAGTGTCTTGAGGATCTGTTCAGATGAGAAGGTGGATCTGGAATTCAAGGGCCCTGATTCCCACCTCCATTTCCACCAAAGGGGTTCCAAGTCCATCTGAACCACACACACTGGGCTGACAAGGCAGGTTTCACCGGCACAACAAATTCTGAAGTTTTTTTTTTCTTTAAATGCTGAAATATTTATTACAGACATCTGAAATTTTCTTGGAAAAGCATCATGGATGAAGAGACATAATAAAGCAAGTACAGTAAAATGCTAGCAGTAGATTTTAGGTTTATGGTCAGCTGATCATTGGGATGTTCTTTTAACTTTAAACATTTTCCTAATCAAATATCAGATTAAAAAAAAACTGTAACTACGTCTTCTGCAATTTTTACTCTATTCCTTCAGTTTCCCTCACCTCCCCTGGCCACCCCAGTGTTTCTCTTCTCCTCCCGAGAATCCTGACTCACAGAGAAACAACAAGAAGGAGAGAGTGCACATGCCTGGCTTCAGGCACCTTAGGGAATCCAATGTGGCTAGAATGAAGGTAACTGAGGCAATCACCAAAAAACCAGGGTCTTCACCACCAAGACTTTCAGAACCAAGAGACCATGTTTAACGAGATGTCCATCCCCTGGAACATCAGCCCATATCCAGATCAGACGGGTCTGTGGGCCTAAAGAATGCACCAGTTGGTCTTGTTCTGCTTCCTGGGCTCCTCCACCTGCAACAGGAATGCTGCTTTCCATGGCCTGGCCTCATGCTCCTGGGATCCCCTGCCTCTTCCATTGAGGGCAACCATGTAATAATGACAGTAACAGCAGCTATTGTTACAACAGCAAGTGGTGTACTCCCTGGGGAACAGCCATGCTAAACTTTCTAGAGGATCTCAACTAGTTTGTCCTTAGAATAGACCACCCGTCAGATATTATTCTTCTATTAAATTTATACCACTTACTTGCTATGTGAGCTGAGCAATGTAGTTAACGTCTCTGAGCCTCCATTTCCTCATCTGCAAAATGGGGATAATGAAGATGCCTACCTCATCAGGTTGTTGGAGGATTTTTCTATGTATACATAGCGCTTGGCCCAAAGCCTAGCTCCTAGAGGAGGAAACTGACTCTTTAGAGAGGTTAAGTGATTTGCTCAGGGCTACACAGCAAACATTAGGGCTCAGGTTTTCCTGGCCCTAAAAAAAAGTGCTTTCATCCAGTATACTGTGCTTAAAAACCAGAGCTCTGTGCAGTTGAAAGCATCCAGGGCAAATCTTGCCTTCCTTAATTAGATTAAAAGATTCATCACAAGCATGTAAACCAGCAAGCCATAATCCACTGATGCTGCTGCATTTTAAACAGAATTTCAGAGTAAGTCGCTCAGATGGGATGAAGCAGTTGGTGGTTGCTGGGGGCACACGTGCAGTAAGGAGAAGGAAAGCAAGGGCTGAGGGATGTTTGTTGCAGGGTATTTTGGAGCAGGCAGGAGATATTGTAAGGCCCCCTTAGAGAGGCTGAGCTCCTTATGGGACATGTGCAGGCTGCATCTCTTAATGTTCACTCCAACTTTGAAAGCAAGGAAGAAAGGATGAATCTCTCAACTCCAAGCTTCCTGAACATGGTTTGGTGTCACGTCACCTGGGGAACTTGACAAAAATGAACATTCTTTGGCCCCATCACAAGACCTGGTATTAGATGTGGGGTGTGAAGATCTGTATTTCAAGAGCATTATAAAATGTTACTGAGGCAGCAGAAGACCACCACATTGTGTCCTTGAATCTTCATAACACTTCTGAGGGCTTAGGGCTTTTTATACTGATTTTGTTGATAAGGTTACTGAGGCTCAGAGAACTTAAGAAAATTTACTCATGCCCACACAACTAGTATACCAGGATTAATTCTGCTCTAGGAGAAAATGCAAAATTTAGAGATCACTTAAACAAGACACTAGTTTATTTCTCTCTCATGGAATCAAAAACTGGAGTTAAGAAGTTCAGGGACTCAGGCTCCTTTTAGCATGTTACTCTGACACCTCAACATGAGGCTTCCTCCTCATGGCTCAAAATGGGTGCTCCAGCCCCAGCCATCATGCTTACCTTTCAGCTCCAGGAAAGAAGAAAAGGAAGAGGCATCCTGGAAGTATTACATACAAATGGTTCTTCTTTTTGGTAATACATCATCTCATATTTAACAGAACAGAAGAATATAAACTTGTAAGGTTTTGATGATATGTAGCATTATGTTATTTTTATAACATTATCATTAAAATGTTTATCTATATTATATATATGAATCCTGACAAGAGCATTTACTACTTAAAATGGAATAAACACAGCATAGTTTAGATTGACTTGCAAATCGGCAAACAGATGATGGCAGTATTTGTCCATGGTGGACAGGACCTCAAAGCTCTAGGTATTCAGGGGTGCATAGAGATAGAAATGACCTCAAATTTTTTTGCCGCCGTCCTTCATTGGCCATAACTTACTTATACAGCCACATCCAACTCCAAGGAGACTGGGAAATGTAGTCTTTATTAGCAGTTTCAAAATCAGAGATTCTCTTATTACAGAAGACGAGGCTACAGCCCTATTCTTAACCCTAACCCTAAACTCCCCACCCTAACTAAGAAGACAAGCATAATGGAGCATGGAGAACAAGACGATATTAGCAGCCTTTGCCACCAAGAACAAGAATTTAAATGACCAACTGCCACATGTTTTTTATTTCTCTTACTTAACCTTAATAACACCCAGTGAGGCAAGTGCTATTATTATCTGCACATTCAAATGAAGGAATAGACTCGGAGGAGGTAAGTTGCTTGCTCAAATCAGTTAGATGATTTGACATGGCAGTTAGATGATTTAACATGGCAGTTAGATCAAGGATTCAAACCCAGGAGGGTTTAATCCTAATGCTAGGAGTTCTGCTTCCCTATGCAATGCTGTAATGCCAGCAGAAGGCGGGAAGGAGAATCCTCTTTAAGCAAGGCTTCACTGTGGGGAAGATACCTTCCACTCAGTTCTGAATCCATGCATTTGGAGAAAACCATCACAGCTTCCCTATCATCCTGGGCTGGTTCTGTCATGTGGACCAACCCCTGACAGTATTTGGGGAAATGCCAAGATTCCATATGTGTCCCTCATGCTAATGAGACACACAGGCCTAGCTGCTGCTGACAGAGACACCCGCTGGTGTTCTCAACCCAAGTGCTGCTTCTCATCTGGTATGCTTTAAAGTGGCCATCCCTATATTGTTTGCATCACAGGTAACCCCAGGGGCCTAAGAATCAAATGCTTCTTTCTGGATATCAGTATCTTCTGCCCACTTGTAAGGGATGTTTCTTCTCTCAAAAAACTCTGTTTTCTCCCTTCTGAAAAATGTGTTCATTTTCTTCTCCTTCTTGTCCTCTTCTTCCTTTTCCTTCTGGGATACACACAATGAACTGGATGATACATATTCCCAGGGACCATAGGATTGCCACTTGCTTCCACAAAAGGCAAAGGCATCACTGTCTAGTGAAGGGGAGGACAAACTTGATCTGTAAAAGGCTAGAAAGAACATATTTTAGGGTTGTCAGGCTAGTTATGTCAACTCCACTCTGCCTGTAGCAATGAAGGAGCTGTAAACAATATGTAAATTGTTTTAACAATATGGTTGTGTTCTGATGAAACTTTATTACAAAAACAGAAGAAGGCCTGCCTTGACCCAGGAGCCCTAGTTTGCTGACAACTAGCCAGTGGTCGTGGGCAAAATCCCAGTTTGCCCATCTTTTAGTGTAGGATGAGGTTTATCTACCTAATCTCCTTGGGCCTCACTTTTCCCATCTTGCAAATGGGGATAAATATTACCTTATTATGGTAATAAATTCTCTGATCTCAAAACTTGCTCTGACCTCAGGGACTTTGAGTTTTCCTTGCTATCCATCCCTAAGCGCCCCTCCCTCCCACCCTGGCATGCTGGTTCCACCTCATCATTTAGTGCCTTAAGCCACCTTCTCAAAGCTTCCCCATCAACCCCATCCAAGGTGGTAGAACTCCCCACCTGGCATATGGCAGATACAGAAGCTGACTTGTTTAAAGCTTTAAGGTTGATTCTTTTCCAGATGAGGAAAGATATGATTTCTGCAGCTCAGAAACTTCCTGCACTGAGGATGTCACTTTCTCCCCTTTGCCAAAATCCCCAGAGCAGGTCTCTTGCAGGATTTAAAACTCAAGACAAGGAAAATCAACACACCTTTTTCCATCATGTGCTTTTCAACCCTGGACACTTCCTGTCTTAATTTAAGGGTCTACCTGGGCTAGCAGAGAAAAGAAAGTGAAGGAGCCATCTTCAAGGCCCTTCAACGAAGCCAAAAGTGCAGAGTTCCACTGTCTGGTGACCCATCCCCACCCTGCTGATAAGCCTTCCATGAGTCACTTGGAATTTTCCACCTAGATTTATGAAATCCATTTTCCCTGAGACAGGCTAAGCAGTTTATAGAGAACCAATATCATTAGGTTAATGATTCCCCATAAATTATTACCCACACCGCCTAGTTAATTTCACAAATGGAGCCCTAATAGTGGAAGATCAATTGCTGGCCTTTCGCAATTCCCTGGGACAAGCTTGGCTTAGGTAAGTGGGGCTCCCTAATAAGGGTTTGCTTATCAGATTGAATCCCCACTCCATCATAATCCTCCATTGGGCACTTTGGGATTCCCACTGCAGCCTTGGTATGACTTCCCCACCAGAGATGCCCCAAACAAACATCATAGCGGGGAATGATTTCTATCTCATTTCATTCTCGGCCATGACTTTTCATTTCCCATTGATGTCTGATTTATTTATCTGTTTATGAAGCGACCCATTTGGCTTGAAGCAACAGCGATAGGCATTTGATCAAATAGGGCTGCAAATCTCATCTTCCACCACCCTGAATTTTTATTCCATCATTACTTAAAAAAATGGAATTAAATTGGGGAGGAAGCAGCCTCTTGCATATGCATTGGCCTCATTTCGTTGGTTTTATGCCCTCTCTTGGTGTTGCATCTTTTCCACGTTACCAAGTGTTCCCAGGGAAAAGCAGTTCCATTTCTGATACCTGAGGAATTTTATTCTCCCCCGATTTGCTTGGGTTCAGAAAGCTGGCAGAGCCGCGCAAGGGATGCAGATTTCACGAACATCAGCCCATCTTTAGCTGAGGTGGTTCCCACAGGGAAACACTCTGGAAGCATTTTCCACAGGCTAGCCAAACTGCCAAAATCCAACCTCCTTAGAATCAGGTCTGTGTTTTCAATTCATCTTAGAAGTCTTCCTATTCCTTACCCAAGCAGACATAGAGTGACATAGAATGAACAATGTTAATATCACCATTCATATCAAAATTATCAGAAATTAATTATCAAAAATTCTTGCAGGTGCCAAGCACTATCCTAAGTGTCTTTACATCTGTGTTCCCATTCTACAGATGAGAAAATTGAGTAAGAAACAGAACTAGGATTCAATTCTCATCTATTCATCACCACAGTTAAGTTCTTAACAATTGCATGATTCTGCCTCACAAGGAAATGCTTTCTTTCTCTCCAAAAAGTGAGGGGAAGTAATTAATATCTATGGTATACCTAGGTATTGGATACCTTTCCACATTATCATATTTAATTCTTAAATTCCCCCTGTGACATATACATTTATTAGCCCATTTTACAGGCAGGACTTAAAAATAATAAGATAATCGGACTGTAAATCTAAGATGGTAATGATCTCCATCCAAACCAGGGATCTTCAGAAGAAAAGTATCAAGACAGCAGATTCTACAGCAAGGTATCTCAGGGTACAAAGTCCCAACCTGGCCTTCAGGGCATTCATCAATTATTTATGCAAAACATAATGTGCACGTGTACATGGGAATATTTTCTAAGGAATGGTCCACAGCTCTGAACAGACACTTCAAGGGGTTTTAAACCCAAAATGAATTAAAAAACACTTGTCTAGAAGATGAGAAACTGCATCTTATAAATATTTGTTGATTTCAAGGGAGCAATCAGTGATCAAGACACATTTTCAGTACTTACTCTGCATGGGGTGCAGTGAAAAAAATGCAAAGATAAATGTCCATCCAAGTCTTCAAGGAGACAAATATTAGGAGGAACAAAGTCAGCTCTTGTCATTTTCTGTTTAAAAACTTTCACTGGCTTTCCATCCTACTGAGAATAAAACCCAGAATTTTCACTGTGGCCTACAAGCAAGGCTTAGGAGAAGCCTCCTCCACCCTACTCAGCTCTTCACCTAGCTGGTTTCTTCTCATCCTTCAAGACTCGGAATGAAGATTGCTTCATAAAAACCCTCCTTGAACTCATGTGACTCTAGCAAATGTTGGGTTCCCTCTAAGCAATTATCACAATCTGTGATCATTTTATCTATGTGTTTACTTATACATTGTCTGTCTCCCCAGCTAGAATATAAGCTTATGAGGGTAGAGGCTTGCCCATCCTGTTCACCATCCCCCGAGGGCCTGGAAGGGGCTTGGCACAGAGTCAGTGATCAAAAATATCACATGGATGCATGGGGAAATTACTTGCCTTCTCCAAGTCTCAGTTTTCTCATCTGTAAAGGGAAGACTCAGGCTATGGGTGGTTTCCAAATTATATGCTCAGGAGCCAAGTGGCCTTTCAAAGCACCTCAAGACCCCACAGACAGAAAGAGAAACAAATAGTGATGTCCCTAGTCTCCTAGCCTCACCCCATCCATGTATTTTAAATATTGCCACTTGCAATAAGATCTCATTTGTAAGAAAAAGAATCCTTCAGTTTAAAGGCAAAGTCTTGAATTGCTGGGACTCTGAGAAACTTGCTAGCTCTAAAATCTATTACCTTTAGTCAACAACCACAATTAGTGGTAGAGAAGAGAAGAAGCCTCAGTAGTGCAGAGAAGGGAAGAGATGCCACCAGCTAGACTAGTCCTGGAAGACCTGAAGGAGGAAGGACTTGAACATGACCTTGAAAAATAAGTCAGGAAAACAGGAACAGGAGACATGGCGTTCTGAACGATGGCAGTGAATAGTGCCTAGATGGGGCATTGAAAGAGCAAGAATAGTTCCAAGAAAATGGTCTCCAAAGGATAGTTCCTGAATCAGTAGCATCAGCATCACCTGGAACTGGTTAGAAATGCAAGCTCTCAGGCACCATTCCAGACCTAATAAATCGGAAACTCCAGGAATGGGGCCCAGGAATCTGTGTTTTAACAAGCCCTCCAGACATTTCTATGCATGCTCAAGTTCTAAGGTTATAAGGGGAAAAAAGTGTGGGATGTCTGCCAAAATCCAACTAGAAGGCAATCAGGACAGAATCCTGGGTGTAACTAATTTCTTTTTACCGTTTCTCAGCCCTGGCTGCACATTAGAATTACCTGGGGAGCTTTTCAAATTCCTAATGTCCAGGCCACATGCCAGACCAATGAAACCAAAGTCTCTGGGGATGGGACCAATGAATTCATATTTTTTTAAAGCCTCCTCTTTTGATTGTGCTATATAGACATGGAGGAGAAGCTGGTGTCTCTATTTCACATAGACTGTGTGGCAAAAGTGGCAAAGAACTAATACACCTGGAAATTCTGCTTGATAATTTAGCCTTTTGAGGTTCACCCAGCTGCTGCAGAGAGGTGATGGTGATACTGCTCAGGAAGGAGAATTAACACAATACAAAGAAGAAAGTGCAGGAATAAAATGAATGCATGGTACGTGTACCTCATAAGTAGTTCTGTGCAAGAGAGAGAGGGAGAGTCAGAGAGAAAGGAGGAAAGAAGAAGAGAGGTGATGGTTTAAGTTTTCTCTTGTTGGTAGCAACAGAATGTATTGGGTCAGTAGAATTAGATGAAAGGGTCTAATGATAAAGAAGCAGAGACTGAGCACTAAGGATATCTCAAAAGAAAGGAGGTTGCAGAGTGGATTTTGGAAGGATGTTTTGCAAAAGACAAGGAAAAAATCATACCAAGTGTCACAGTGGTCAGGACTCTGAGATCTGAACTTGGACTTTCAGAGTTCAAACCCCTTCTCTGCTATTTCATTTGTGACCTCAGGCACATTGCTCAACCTCTCTGAACTAGTCTCTTCAGTTGTGAAATGGGAATAACAATTGTTATCTCGCAGATTTTGAGTGATGAATAAATGGGTTAATCTGTGCAATGTGCTTAAGCAGTGCCCGGTGCTCAGCAATGAATAGTTATATTAAATGTTGTTTTTGACTCTAGGGTTGTGGTTCTAAAGGTATACACTGAACCAGGAGCTCAGGCATGAATTCTTGACATGGGGCATTCTTCTTTTCTTCTCCCAATAACAAGGCTGTGACTCTTGCAAGTAAACCATGTGTACATTAATTCATGTAGTAGCAAGTGTCCTACCTGTGTTGAATTGTTAGCAATTGCGGTGATTGCTGTTTCAACTGCTCTTCTGCCTCTGGCCATCATCAGAGTGTCGAATCACCCCTAAGGGTATAGGAAGAGCTCAGAGACTTCCAGCCAATATAGTAGCTGAGCTGACATGAGGAGCCCTTTCATACTCTGAACACATAGGAATACTGGATAAAATGTAGAATCAAAAGCTTCAAATACATAGCTTGGATCAAAAATAAAAAGAAAAGAGAAGCCCAGGTGTCATAAAGGAAGAGAAAACTAAATAAGCCAAATGGTCCATGAGATATCAGAACTTTATAAACCTAGAGAGTCATAATACCAATGCCTGGAGAGCAGAGTCGCATCCACATGAAGGGATCTATAAAGCTCAAAGCAGGAACCATAAAGGGCTTTCCATCCATGAAAGTGTCACTAGAAAACTCTACCTACTGGCTTAGGCTCATGGCATACAAGTGGGTTGATCACCTCAGGCTGAAGTTGGTAAAAGATCCCCTGAGATAAATGGAAACATCAAGCCTGTACCATGAGCTTCTCCAATCTTGAGTCCCTGGAATCCCGAAGAAAAAAATCCCACTAAAGATGAGCTCACAGCTAAAAATTATAGAACACATTAAGAAATCAAGTCCCCCATGAGAGTCAAAAGATGCAACTAATGAGGGAATTAAAACCATGGGAAACATGCATGCAATCTACTTAAAAATCTCTTTGAGTTTATTTGCATATATATTCAATAAAATAAAAGAAATAAAATAGAGTCAACTGTGGCTATTGAGCATTAATCATAAGACCTACAAAGCCTGCCCAAAGGAGATTTATGTGTTGAACATTAGATTGTCACCTGTTCAGTTTCTGCCTCCTGGTTTTAAGAATGTGGTGAACAGGAGTGAGGAAGGAACACTCTTACATGTATGCAGGCTGGTACAATCTTTCTAGAAAAGGCAAGTTACCAATATAGAGGAAGCCTTAAGTATACACTTTGGAGAAGCCCACTTTTAGGAATTTATTCTAAAGAAAAAGTAATAAATACAGGAAAGATTTGCTGCAAGGACATTTTTTTCAGTGCTAAAAAAACTGGAAACCTCCAGCAGCAGGGAATTTGTCAAATAAGTGAAGATACATCCAGATGTTGGGATTCTAGGCAGGCAATAAAGTGGATGCCGTAAAAGAATGCTTAAAGGCATGGAAGAATGCTCATGACATTGTAAGTTAAAAAAAGCAGGCTATGGAACTGCATGAGCAAGACAATTCCATTTTTATAAATATAGGATAAATACTAGTGTTTAATATTTAATTGCAGCAATTCATTTATGAGAAATGAATATAATGCTGGAAACAAATGTTACAAACAGGATTATCTTTGAGTGATAATGCATTATGTCATTGATGGAAAGGCACCACTGGCCCAGTTGAAAAATGAAAATTGTCTGTAATGGAAAAAGATATGGAAATTTTTAAAGACCGTTACATGATGCAGAAAATAACATTATAAGTGATTATGATAGGTGCACAGATCAATATCTACATTATATATTCTGGTGCACAGATCAATGTCTACATTACATAAATGTCTTGAAGGCAACCGGGGAAGGCTTCCCAGAGGAGGTTACATCTAAGCTGGATTGTGAATGCTGAAAAGTTTACCAGTTAGACAATGTGGAGAGAGCAATCCAGAGAAAGGCAGAAATGAATGAATAAAGAATTGATGGATTGCCCCAGCATTTTGGGAGGCTGAGGCAGGAGGATGACTTGAGCCCAGGAGTTTGAGACCAGCCTAGGCAACATAGTGAGACCTCATCTCTACAAAAACAAAACAAAACAAAACAAAACAAAACAAACAAAAAAGCCAGGTGTGGTGGCTCACACCTAACTACTCAGGAGGCTGAGGTGGGAGGATTGCTTGAGCCTAGGAGTTTGAGGCTGCAGTGAGCTGTGATTGTGTTCCTGGACCAAACTGAGGGTCAGGCTGATATTTCTCGTAGCCCAATAGCAAGATGCAGATGAACTGAGGAGGAAGAGAGTTTTATTTCTGTAACTGGCTACAGGGAGAAGGCCCGAAAAGTATCACTAGACCAACTCAGTTACAAAGTTTTTCAGAGCTTATTTACCTTCTGAGCTATATGTCTACGTGTAAGTGTGCATTTACCTAAAGACATAAGTGATTAACTTCTTTTAATCTATAACTAAGATCTAAGTCCTAAAGACCTTCCTTAGGAGCCTCAGTAAATTTGCTTAATCTAAATGGGTCCAGGTGCTGGAATGATTACCCTTATCTTATCTCCTGCTAAATCATGGAGGTTTGGGGAGTTCCTTCAGACCCCCAATAAACTTGTTTGTGGAGGCCTAGCGAGTTTCTTCAGACACCCAGTAAAACTTGTTTAATCCTAAACGGGTCCTGTTAAGAATTCCTTCCTTGTCTTGTAGGCTTCAAGGCCCAGGAAAGGCCTGGGCAAAACTCTTGGTGGGCTTTTGTTACATTCCAGCCTTTATATAAGGACACTGGCTCTTTCAGCTTTTAATGTTTAACTTCTCCACTCAGTCAGGGCTAAAACAGTTGTTATGCAGACCTGTGTTAGTGAGACCTGACCTGCCGCAATTGCACCACTGCACTCCATCCTGGGTAACAGCAAGACCTTGTCTCAAAAAATAATAATAATAATTGATGGATTGAGTGAATGAAGGCAACATGAGAATATTCTTCATGAAGAAACATGCCTAATGAGAGAGGACAGTGACATCTTTGTGAGGTCCTAATGAGTAAGCCCTCGGAGAATGTCAGGAGGAGACTGTGGGTCATAGTACCTGTGATGATATGCACTACTGACTGTGTAACTTCAGAGTAATTGCAGGGAAAGAGCATGAAGTGCATTTTTAAGCATGGGAAGACACCTTCAGCAAAAGTAATAAAACTGAAAATTCTTCCAGATACAGACCTTTATGTGTGTGAAGTATTTTAGGAGCAGCCAAAATCATGTACAATGGGGAAGTGCATCCTAATGTGGTGGAACTTGGGACCTGCCTTTCCTCCTGTCTTGGATCAGGCCAGAGTTAACACTTTGGTGGCCAGTCCTCTTTCTGAATATGGAGGAAAATTGGGAGGTTTAATAAAAGCATATAGGACGATATGGAGAAAGGAGATGGCCAGCCCAATGGAAAGCTTTCGGCTGTGAGGCTTCCCTGGAAATCTGGAAATGTATGGCCACAGTGAACTGACTGGGAAGCTTTCTGGCCTGCAAGATTCTGTTAGATTGTGTGTGTGTAAAAATGATAATCAACTGTCTTCAATAATTAAAATACAGGCTCACCGAGAGGCAGAGGGGTGAACTGTTTGACCTCTTAAGACCTTCCTTCAGCCTTATTTTGCAGGATATAGCATGGCTAAGGGAATGTAATATAGTAATAATATATATCTGCTTTATTCGCAGTTCCTGGCACAGTGTTTCAAAATACCCTGGAATTTCCTGAGTGATAGAAGTATCTTTTGTTATTCATAATGAGCACCTTTTGACCATACCAGAATTTAGGCTAATGAGACAACTTATGGGAGAGGTGGGGATCTAGGTAGCTTCAGGATAGGGGCTGGTTGCTGGAGGAACCAAGCACATAATTAGAGGACTGAACTTTTCAGCCCCACACCCCACCTCTGGGGAGGAGAGAGGGGAGGGGATGGGAATTTAGTTCAATCACATAGTTAATGATTTACTCAATCATGCCTACATAATGAAACCTCCATAACAAGTCTTGGACAGCAAGGCTTGGGGGCACTTCTAGGTGGATGAACACATTGATGTGCCGGAAGAGTGCCACACCCTGGTTCCATGGGAGATGGTATGGGATCTCTGTGCTCCTTCCGCCTGCATTGACTCCCAGATCTTGACCCATACATCTCTTCCATGTGGGTATTTCTGAGTTGCCTTCTTTAATAAAACTGCTATTGTTAAATATAATGCCTTTAGTGAGTTCTGTGAGTCATTCTTGTGAATCACTGAAACTGAAAGGGGGTCATAAGAGCCCCTAAATTGATGGCTGGCTGAGCAGAAGTGTAGGCAGCCTGGTAACACCTGGGATTTCCTGTTACTGCCTGAAGTGAGGATAGTCTTGTGAGACTGAGTATCTTAACCTATGGGACCTGTGCTAACTCTAGGTAGTTAGTGACAGAATTGAATTGAATTGCAGGACAGCCAGCTGGTGTTGGAACATAGGGAATAATGATGACAACTGATGTTTACTGTGCACTTACTATGTGCCATGTGCATACAAATCTTTCATGTGCATTTTCTCAGATAAGAACTCAGACCCCAGCCTGCTCCCCAGAGTTGATGGTTGCAGGTTTGCTTCTCTTTACAGCATGGATAGATCCCTCTATGTTTATAGGTTTGAATCAGGTTATACACTCCTCAGGATGGCTTCAACTGGCAAGGGATTCTACAACTTGTGTTTTTGGTTTTCTTCTCTACCTGCAGCCCTTCAAGCAAGCAGTTACAGATCTGTAAACACTCCAGGGATGCTATTTAAAGACAGTCCTTTGTAAATCAAGGAGCGCTTCTGAAACACAAATGGATGTAATCACCCCCTAATTTGCTTGGTTTGTGGGTTTGGAGTTGCTTGCTTGCTTTATTTAGTCTGTTTTGGATCCTGTTGTGGGCTGAGAATCAACAGCATCAGCTATAAGTGTGTAGGCACTGGCTGTATTATGTTTTGTTCTGTGCAATGCCAAGCATGATGCCAAATGTATGATTTTTTTTTTTTGCAGTACCGTAAATTACATATCCAAGTGAACATTGTCCTTCAAAGTTCTCATCTTGAGAAGGTACTTTCCCTGCACCCCCACCCCACCTCTGCTTTGAGTAGCCAGACCACCACTTCAGCATCCCTCTTCTCACTCTCTTTCCTGAGCTTCTGAGGGTTCTTCCAGGGCAGGGACTGTGCTGGTTTGACTTTGTATTCTTACACATAGCACGTGATTGGATCCTACTCACTCCCACTCTCCCTTGCAGGATGTCCCCATTTCAGTCAATGGGCAAGAATGCAACCAAGAAGAGAGCTGCAGGTGTCAGAGGCATTTGAACCAGAGCAACTCCATCTTGAATAGGGACTGGGTAAAATAAGATCTGCTGGGCTGCATTCCCAGGAGATTAAGACATTCTTAGTCACACAATGAAATAGGAGATCAGCACAAGGTACAGGTCATGAAGACCTTGCTGATAAAACTGGTTGCAGTAAAGAAGGCTGCCAAAATCCACCAAAACCAAGATAGTAATGAGAATGATCTCTGGTCTTCCTCAGTGCTACACTCCCACTGGCGCCATGAGAGTTTACAAATGCCATGGCAATGTCAGGCATGGTCTAAAAAGGGGAGGCATGAGTAATCCATCCCTTGTTTAGCATATCATCAAGAAATAACCATAAAAATGGGCAACCAGTAGTCCTTGGGTTGCTCTGCCTATGGAGTAGCCATTCTTTTTCCTTTACTTTTGTAATAAACTTGTTTTCACTTTATGGATTCACCTCGAATTCTCTCTTGCATGAGATCCAAGAACCCTCTTTTGGGGTCTGGATTGGGACCCCTTTCTGGTAACATTCAGGTGCAAGGTGATGGGGACTTGAAATAGGGTATTGGCCATGGTGATTGAAGAGGCAGACCAGTGTGTCACTCACTCATTGGATGTATGGGATGTGGCAGTGAAGGAGAAAGAGGTCCCTCTTACAATCTCTCACTACAATGCTTAGTGACCCTTCAGAGCCCTTGCCATGCTTTGTGATCACAGTCATTTATGATTGTTTTTCCATTGCCTGTGTCTTAGACTGTGAGTTCCAGGTGGGCAGTGGGTAGCAGCTGGCATACGTAAATGACAATTTACGGAATGAATAAATGACTAAACAAATGAATGAATATGTTCTCTCCTGATAAAAGCCACATGCTTGCTGCATCCAGCAGTTGGGCTCCCTAATTTTGTTCTCAAGCTTGAAAGGTGGAAGTTCTCACAGGGTCCCTCAGAACCCATCATAAGGAGTCCAAGTGCAGAACACAACTGCTCAGATTCACAGAAGACATCACGATCACATCCCGATTTGGGGCCAAACTGAGACTGAGCAATCATCTTAGCCCAGGAGTCTTGCAGTTCTGGAGCCCAGGGACACTACTGAGAATCTGACAGAAGCTACATGGCCTCTTTCCTTCCCCAAGTGCATGTATGAACATAATTTTGCCCAATATTGCAGAGATTTCATTGACCACACATGGACCAGCCCTTAACCAGTTCTGGGTTAAGAATCCATGATCTCTAATCCAAGGCTCTAATTTTAAAAATGAGCCCAGAGGGCTGAGCGCAGTGCCTCACATCTGTAATCCCAGGACTTTGGGAGGCTGAGGTGGTGGATGTGAGGTCAGGAGTTCAAGACCAGCCTGGCCAACATGGTGAAACCCTGTCTCTACTAAAAATACAAAAATTAGCCAGGTGTAGTAGCACACACCTGTAATCCCAGCTACTCCGGTGGCTGAGGCAGGAGAATCACTTGAACCCGGGAGGCAGTGGTTTCAGTGAGCCGAGATCATGCCATTGCACTCCATCCTGCCCGGGCAACACAGTGAGACTCTGTCTCAAAAAAAAAATGAGCCCAGAGAAGGGAAGTGACTTACCCAAAATTAGACAGATGAAACAAAAAGAAAAGAACCCCTTCTTTGAAATGTGAGTGGTCAGGTCTTTCTCATTTTCCCAGACCCCTCACTTTCTCTGGACAGAGACAGCCAGCATATTCATCCAGAGCTGAACTTTTCCATTTAAAATTCTTTATTTAGCATGGAAATGCATCTTCAGAAGTTTCTTCTGGATCAAAACCTCCCCAGGCGTGGTTTGAAGCTTTAAGAAGAGAAGAGCTGCACACTGATGTGTATGTGTTGGGAGAGTTTGGGGGAGGGTGGTTTCTGTTGTTAGTTGGGGGAAGTATTTTTCATTTATATTCTCTTTTTAGACTGTTTTCCCAAGTGATTTCTGACTCAGAGTGGACCAGAGCTCAGTTCTGCTCCATAGGATTAGTTAACAATCTTTGACAGTGCTGCATTCTCAGTGGAAGTCAGGCTTCCTGCAAAACACTGAATTATTCACACCAAACAGGTCACATTTGCTGAAGTAGTAAGTAGAATTTTGTGTGTCAAAGAAAGACTCATTAAATTGAGTGCTTCAGTAAAGCAAGCACCACTGGGGTTTAATTTATTGCTGCTGCTTGACATCTGCTTTCCCAAAGTGATGGGGACTGCCTCTACCCACGTGGGCAGACAGAGTGAGCCCATTTCTGGCTGTGACTAGAACACTTGTCTCATGAGGGCCAGTCCCAAGCTCTGTCCTTCACCCATGATATCAATGTTTGGATCATAGAACCTGCTATACCCAAAGCTCTGTGGGGTAGAGATAAGACTGGTTGTTTTTTTGGATGAGGTGGGCGCTCTCACCCTAGCATCCAATAATGCTGTCTTTACAACAAGTTATTTGGTTGCAATAAATGAACATTTTATTATATTAACCCAGGTAGAAGGAGTTGACAGGTGGACAAAGGTAGATCTCATCAGAAGTCATCAGATGACTAGGTTCTCTAGCCTTCCCTCTCCCTCTCTGTAGATGTGTGATAGAAAGAATGAATATATGAACAAATGGATGTAATACATGAATAAATAGGAATCCAAGTGCATGAACTATGGTAGGTGGCCACACAACTTCTGCTTGAATATGCTCCCTGACAACCTGGATATAGCCTAACCTAAGTTTCTGCGAGAGGTGGAAACACATGTTGCTGTCCATGGTCCTAAATAATCACTGAGCACAGTTTTTGTTTGTTTGTTTTCTCCTAGCACTGCCTCAGCACATCCCAACTGAGCATCAGGTGGCCTATAGAGATGGAGGTAAAATTGCTGAGCTGGAAGTCTTGGCTAATGCTAGCATCTGCATATTCAGTTCTAAGCAGTTCAAAGCCCTTCTCAGTTAGAGTCTGCAATAAGTGCCTTGAGTAGGCCCAGGGGATCAAGCAACCCAATTAACCTGCTTTCACCCCAGTGTAATGTGCCAATTTTTATGAATGTGTGTGTGCATGCATTCAGCATCCAGGTATTCAGAGGGTAGCCTGCTGTTCATGTCAGCATGTCTCCAGGCAGAATGCTCTCAACTTTCTTTGGCCCCCACATTTCAACTTGCAGAAATAAACGGAGAAGATTTGCAATCCAGTGTGTAGTTCACCCTTCTTAAAATCTTGCAGCTGTCACCAGAATTCTGTGGCCCTGTCAGCTCCTCAATTGGATCTAAGAAGGGTGGTGTTCAGGTGCACTATTGTTGTTCTAGATATAGACTTTGAATGTTGGAACATCCAGGATTAATCCTTGCTTTCCCCTCCCCGTCAATAAGCTGGAGCTACAGTGACTACTTTGAGGGCATTTCCCCTTACCCATCATCCCCTCCTCTGCATTTGTGTTATGCTATTATCTTGCACCATAGCCCTCCCCCTGCCACTGGTGATTGGGCCAGGCACTTACGCCTGATGGCCAATCAAACCATCTTTCTCAGAAATTTGGGATTAAGATTGAGAGGTGCTTATTAGTCTGTGTGGGCCAATCAAAACACCTTTCCCAGAAATTTGGAATTAGGATTGAGAGGTGCTGGTCGGTCTGTGCTGTCTGTTGGCAATGGTATAAGCATGGGAGCTAGGGAGAAAAAAAGAGTGCCTTCCTCAGACAAACCAGTTTTCAGACAGGTTGAGAGAGAGAAGAATAAAATAAGGAACAGAGTTGGGGCCCAGGGAACATGTGACAGAGTTATTGCTAGACAAACAGAGAGGTTTCCCTTAGCATGGAATAGCATGGGATAGCATGCCTGGGATAGCAAGGCCCCTTCCCAGACCCCACATATCAGCAGAATTAACACTTTGGAGATACTTCTACTCTTTCTGGAAACTTTCTAAGTCCTGTCTCTAGAGCCTGAAACCTGCTGGGTCTGTCAGTGCCATCCAGGCAGGGTACCCCAAACTCAGACCAAGTGTGTGAACTCCAGTCTCTGCTCTACCCCACATGATTCTCTCTGACCCTTTTCTCTATGTACTGGGTCAACCAGATGCTCCAAAGATTAAAGTTGTTCTGGGTACTGTGGCCTAGTAAGCTGATAGTCTCTGCTAGCCAGTGTGGTACTTCCTTAATGGCACTGGGTGCAATTGGTCCACAGAATGGTGCCAACATGCTGCTTTAGGCTGATGCACATTGTTTACAGAGACAGGAGATCCACAGTAAGCATTTACCTTGGGACCCGCACACCCTAGTGACATCCCTGCACTGCAGTTCTTGACAGCCTTTCATTTCCTGTTTCCAGTCCTTCTGGAAGTTCTATAAGGAATGCAGTACCTCCCTGTAAAATCTTGCTGTTTATTTCAGCCAGTACAAAGGAGCTGTTCTCTACAGTCCTGCAGCCAAATATTGTGTTGAGTAAGACAGCAGCTTCCACAAGCCTCTCCCCACTTAGAGCTTCCACCACTCCATCTAAGAAAGGGGATCATACTCCTGATATCTCCTTCACAGAGCTGGTTAGTGGGTTTAATGAGCTCATTCCTCATGCCTTTATTCATTTATCAAATACTGAGTACCTACTTCATGCCAGACACCGAAGATACAATTGTGGCTAGGCATGGCCCAAGCTGCTGCTTTCATAAACTTTATGCCTAGCAGGAGGAGGCAGGTAAGACCACACAAATATATATCTGTGGTGGTAAGTGTTATGAAGAAAAATCAGGCAGAATAGAGGATTGGTAATTCCTGGGAATGTGGTGTGTGTTATTTTCTATAGGGTGCTTGGGAGAGGCTTATCTGATGAGATTGCATTTGAGCAAAGACCTGAAGGAGATGAAGAAATGAGCCACGTGGACATATAGGGGAGGATCATCTTTGCAGAGGAAGTAGCAAGGGCAAATGCCCTGGGGCAGGAGCACATTTGGCATAATAGAGGAATAGCACAAAGGTCCATGTGGCTGGAACAAAGTGAAAGAAGAAGGGCATGATCAGAAATGCGATCAGGAGGTGAGGCGAAGAGCTGATCCTGTAGGACCTTGAGGGCTACCATAAGGACTTTGATTTTTCCTCTGAGTGAGACAGAAAGTATGGGAGGTTTTTGAGCAGAGAAAGGATGTTATTTTCACAAGATCATTCTGGCGGCTGGGGTTAGATTAGACTGAAAGGGGATGAGATGGAGGTTGGAATACGGACAGAAGCAAAGAGATCAGTTGAGGCTATTAAAATCATTCAAACAAGACATGATGGTGGCCTGGATCAGGGCAGTATCAGTGGAGATGGTGAGAAGTTTTGAGATTCTGGAAATATTGCTTTCAATGGCAAAAATTTCAATTACTTTTGCACCAGCCTAATATTTTGAAGGTAGGGCTTGTAGGTTTTTCTAATGTGCATTGTGAGAACTGTGCACATAAAGCACACACATACCACTGTGCTTGGCTAAGGGGTGGAGGTCCGGTGTGTTCAATCAAGGGTCCCCCACAGTCTCTGCCCAGGGAAATGTTTCATCTGCCCTTGGACATGGGCTATGGCACTAAGACATGAGCCTTGACCTCCATTCTACCCCTAAGATTAGAAAAGATAATAGATGCCATCCCTACAGCAGCAGATAGTAAAATAAACTTGATGGTCCTTCTCCTAGTACTCCTCACTAGGTACCACATTTTATCCTATTGTCCCCATGAGTAAGAAAATATGACCATTCTTATGGCATCCACTGATTTGTGTTCCCAATTATTGCATGCAATCTTTTATTCATACAATAAACATTTATTGAGCTGCTATGTGGACCAGGCACAGATAATACAGAGATTCCTAACATACGGACCCTTCCCCAAAGAAGCTCATGATCTGGTGAAGGAGACAGAAACTTATCAAAAATGAATAATTATAGGAAAAGTGACATCAGCAAGATGGACAGCTAGAAGCCCCTAGTACTCATTCCTGTCACAAAGACACAGCCAGAACAATAGATAAACAACTATATTTTAATACAAATAACTGAGGGAGATTGCTACAGTGCATCAGAGGAGTGACAGAAACCCTGGTGAGCACAAAAACTTGGGATGACCAAGTAAAAAAGAGACAAATTCTGGGCCTCCACCACCCCATTCCCCAACCAGTATCAGCTGGGAACCAGAAAGATCTTCTCCCTGCAGTGAGGAGGTAATCAAGAGGATCCCAGTCACTCCTATCAATACCTTAGACACTACAGACCTCACCACTGAGGTTCCCTGTAGTCCTCACCAGCACTAAGCCTGGCTGAGGAAAGTACTTGGAGTCCGCATGGCTGGGATTCCTCTAGAAAAGGAGCCAGCAATGTGTCCCACTCCCTGTAGCCCATGTGGCTACTACATTATGCCATCTTGGAGTTGTAACCACGGCTAGAGTGTGTCTTGTTCTAGGGGTGAGTAGCCATGGTTCCCGTCCACCCCTGAGGCCAAGCCATTGCCAAGACACCACAGCCCAGTGGCACATCTCCAAGCCAAGCTGCAAGCAGCTGCTACACTCTTCCCTAGGGGGCCAAAAGGAGGTGGAGCCATTCCACCTACCCTTTCCTTAACTCCCTTGGGCCAGAGATGAAGGAGCACCCTGCCTCCTGAGAAAACAGTACCCTGGCCATTCAGAGCAGTCTTGACTC
Source organism: Homo sapiens (assembly GCF_000001405.40). Classification (NCBI taxonomy): domain Eukaryota; kingdom Metazoa; phylum Chordata; class Mammalia; order Primates; family Hominidae; genus Homo; species Homo sapiens. The sequence continues at coordinate 108,000,725 of NC_000012.12, read as the reverse complement.
CTTGGTGCCTAAGTTGAAGCAGCACCTTTCACCCCAGGAAATGCTACCTTGGCAACTCAGAGTGGCTATGCACCCCAGTACCTAAGCTGAAGCAGTGCCATGAATCTCAGGGAAATGGTGCCTGAAACCTCAGCTGAAGTGGGATATCCCCCCCTTGGGGAATTGGTGCCCTGGCTGAGCTGAGAAACTGCACATCTCAGGGCTTAGCTGATGTAGTACCCTGCATCCCAGGGAAACAGAATAGTGGCTGATCTGAGACACCCCACCCTCTAGGCCAAGCAGCTCTAATATTCTGCTTTCCTGGAGCTGGACTTGCTTCCAAAAGTTGGAGCTACTGACTCCACTGAGGAGTAGAGGAATCACTGTGTAGTTCCCTGTCCCTACCAGGATCCAAACAGCTGTTTCCACCGTTCAAGGGTACTTGTTGCCACTGCACCTGGCCTCAAAGAGTCTGGGATACTTTCCAGCTATGCTATCCAAGGGTATAGAGTTACTACTATGCGGTGCTTCATTTCCTGGGATTTGAGTTGCCACTAAGCTCTATTGTCTCCAGTTCCTAAAGTGCAACCATGCTCTGCTCCTTGAGCCCAAAGCTCCAGAGCACCCCTTCTTTACTGGTGCCAGGCAAGTGCTGTGCTCTTCCCCCCAGAGGTATGACCACAGCTACAACTAAGTTCCCTGGGCCCAAAATGCTAGGAGGTGCCTCAGAGTCACAGATCCTGGCTCTGTGGGCAACTTACAACCAACCCTGCCACAGAGAGCAAACTTGCACCCCAAGACCCAGGTGCTACAATAGATTCATGAGACCCTGAGCCTAACCGCCCCCTCCACAGCTGCTCCAAATACCTGCACCTAGAACCCAGTCGTTCTGTAGTGGTTTGTAGATTGTATCAGATCTGACACCAAGAGGGATTCCCTCATTTTAGTCTCCACATTGGGGAAAAGTGATGATAGAAAGATCCCAAAAATCCTTGATGCAGAGGATATTATCGACCGGTGCCACTACTGCCACTACTACAAACTTCTGCAGCCTAGGCTGTTGAGGCATCCACAATTATTGCTGACATTGAACACAGCTGAAGAAGTTGCAACGAGAATATACCACTGCACCTATCTGGAAACAGACTCACCACACCCTTCCCAACTGACACACTAAAACCCAACTGCAAGTGAAAGATTTTCTCTACGGAAAGCCAACAAGAGGCAATTGTTTTACTGGATGCTCTCTAGAAAGTCTACAATAGGCAGTTGTTTTACCGGATGCATAGACATCAGTGCAGGAACACAAGAAACATGAAATAAAAAGGAAATATGACACCACTAAAAGAACATGATAATTCTCTAGTAACAGACCCCAATGAAAAAGAAATCAAAAATTTGCCAAAAAAAAAAAAAAAAAACCAAAAGAATACAAAATGATCTTAAGGAAACTCAATGAGAAAAAATACAGATAGACAATTTAAGAAAACCAGAAAAACAATTCACAATATGAATAAGAAATATAAAAACTAGATAGAAATAATAAATAAAAGAATCAAACAGAAATCCTATAGCTGAAGAATTCGGTGAATGAAGTAAAAAATACAATGGAGAGCTTCAATAGCAGACTTGATCAAGCGAAGAAAGAACTTCTGAACTTGAAGATAGGTAATTTGAAATTGCCCAGTCAGGGAAAAAAAAAAGACATAAGAATGATTTTTTCAAAGCGAAGAAAGCCTACGAGACTTATGAGACACCATTAAGCAAACAAATTTTTGTATTGCAAAAATTCTAGAAAAACAGGAGAAGGGAAACATGTATTTAATGAAATAACAGCTGAAAACTTTCCATGTCTGGGGAGAGATATGGACATCTAGATCCAGGAAGCTCAAAAATCCCCAAACAGAATCAACCAAAAGTCCACCTCAAGGAACACTATAATCAAAATGTCAAAAATCAAAGACAAAAACAGCAAAGAAAAGCATCAAGTCACATATAAGAGAATTTCCATTAGACTAACAATAGATTTTCTCTGCAGAAACCTTACAGGAAAAGAGAGAATGGTATGATATATTAAAAGCACTAAAAGAAGAAAAAAAAAAGCAAGTGAATAATACTACAGCCAGCCAGCAAGGCTATTCTTTAGAAATGAGAGAAAAATAAAGTCTTTCCCAGACAAGGTAAAACTGAGGAAACTCATCACCACTAGACTGGACTTACAAGAAATGCTCAAGGGAATCCTACATCTGGAAGCAAAAAGATGATAATCACTATTATGAAAATATGCAAAAGTATAAAACTCACTGGTACAGCAAATACACAAAGGAGAAAGAGAAAAGAATCAAACCTCATCACTACTGAAAACCACAGAACAGCAATGATAAACATTAAGAGAAGAAGAAAGGAAGAAATGATATAAAAAGTAACCAGAAAACAATTAAAAATGATAGAAATAAGTGCTTACATATTATTAATAACCATAAATGTAAACAGATTACATTCCTCACTGAAAAGATATGGACTGGTTGAATGGGTTAAAAACAAAAACAAGAGCAAGACCCAACTATGTGCTACTTACAACAAACTCACTTCACCTTTAAAGACACATACATACTGAAAGTGAAGCAAAGAAAAAGATATTCCACTCAAACAAAACCCAAAAGTGAGAAGGAATAGCTATACTTATGTAGGGAAAAGAGAGATCAGACTGTTACTGTGTCTATGTAGAAAGGAAAGACATAAAAGACTCCATTTTGAAAAAGACCTGTACTTTAAACAGTTGCTTTGCTGAGATGTTGTTAATTTGTAGTTTTGCCACAGCCACTTTGCCCCAGCCATTTTGACCCAACCTGGAGCTCACAAAAACATGTGTTGTATCAAATCAAGGTTTAAGGGATCTAGGGTTGTGCAGGACATGCCTTGTTAACAAAATGTTTACAAGCAGTATACTTGGTAAAAGTCATCGCCATTCTCTAGTCTCAACAAACCAGGGGCACAATGCACTGCGGAAAGCCGCAGGGACCTCTGCCCTTGAAAGCTGGGTATTGTCCAAGGTTTCTCCCCATGTGATAGTCTGAAATATGGCGTCGTGAGATAAGAAAGACCTGACTGTCCCCCAGCCCAACACCCATAAAGGGTCTGTGCTGAGGTGGATTAGTAAAAGAGGAAAGCCTCTTGCAGTTGAGATAGAGGAAGGCCACTGTCTCCTGCCTGCCCCTGGGAACTGAATGTCTCGGTATAAAACCCAATTGTACATTTGTTCAATTCTGAGATGAGAGAAAAACCACCCTATGGTGGGAAGCGAGACATGTTTGCAGCAATGCTGCCTTGTTATTCTTTACTCCACTGAGATGTTTGGGTGGAGAGAAACATAAATCTGGCTTACATGCACGTCCAGTCATAGTACCTTCCCTTGAACTTAATTATGACATAGATTCTATTGCTCACATGTTTGTTGCTGACCTTCTCCTTATTATCACCCTGCCCTTCTACTACATTCCTTTTTGCTGAAATAATGAAGATAATAATCAATAAAAACTGAGGGAACTCAGAGACCGGTGCCAGTGCAGGTCCTTGGTATGCTGAGCGCCGGTCTCTTGGGCCCACTGTTGTTTCTCTATACTTTGTCTCTGTGTCTTATTTCTTTTCTCAGTCTCTTGTCCCACCCGACTAGAAATACCCCCAGGTGTGGAGGGGCAGGCCACCCCTTCATAATTATATCAGACAAAAACAGACTTTAAGTCAAAAACTGTAAAAACAGACACAAAGGGTCATTATATAATGATAAAGTGGTCAATTCAGCAAGATATAACAATTGTGAATATATATGCACTCAATACTGCAGCACCCAGATATACAAAGCAAATAGTACTAGGTCTAAAGGGGTAGATATACTCCAATACAATAATAGTTATGGACTTCAACACCCCATTGTCAGCTTTGGAAATGTCGTCTAGACAGAAAATCAACAGAGAAATATTAGATTTAAGCTGAATTTTAGACCAAATTGACTTAATATACATTTATATAACATGTCATCCAACTGCTGCAGAATATACAATCTTCCCATTAGCACATGGAGCATAGTCCGGAATAGACCACATATTAGACCACAAAATAAGTCTCAACATATTTATAAAAGTAGACATCATACCAAGTGTCGTTTCCAACCACAATGGAATAAAACTAGATATCAATAATGAGAGGAACTCTAGAACTGTACAAATACATGGAAATTAAACAGCTTGTTCTTGAATGACCAAAAAGTCAATATAGAAATTAAGGAAAAACTTAAAAATTTTATTGAAATAAATGAAAATAGAGACATAACATACCAAAACCTACAAGATAGAGCAAAAGCAATTCTAAGAGGGAAGTTTATAGCAATAAATGACTATATCAAAAAAGTAAAAGATTTCAAATAAACAACCTAATGATGCATCTGAAGGAATTAAAAAAGCAAGAACAATTCCAAAATAAGTAGATAGGAAGACATAATAAAGATCAGAGCAGAAATAAACAAAATTGAGACTAAATGAAACAATGAAAAGATCAACAAAATGAAAAGTTGGCTTTTTGAAAAGATAAAAAAAATCAACACACCATTACCTAGACTAACCAAGAAAAAAATAGAAAACATCCAAAGAATAAAATCAGAGATGAAAAAGGATGTATTACAACTGATATCAAAGAAATATAAGGGTCACTAGAGACTATTACAAAAAACTATATGCCAACAAATTAGAGAACCTAGCATAAATGGATACATTTGTAGGTACATACAATCTACAAAGATTGAACTAAGAAGATAAAGAAACCCTGAAAGACCAGTTACAAGTAACAAGATTAAACTTGTAATTAAAATCCCCCATCAAAGAAAAGCCCAGGAACCCATGGCTTCACTGCAGAATTCTGCCAAACATTTGAAGAACTAATGCCAATTTTTCTCAAACTCTTCCAGAAAATTGAAGATGAAGGAATGCTTTCAAACTCATTCTACCCTGATATCAAAACCAGACTAGGACACAACAACAAAAAAAAGAAAACCAAAGGTCAATCTCTCTGATTAACATACACACAAAAATCCTTAAAAAAAAAAAAAACTAGAAAACTGAATCCAGCAGCACATTCACCATGATCAAGCAGAGTTCATCCTAGGAGTGCAAGAATGGTTCAACATTTGCAAATCAATAAATGTGATACGTAACATCAATGGAATGAAAGACAAAAACCATACGATCATCTCAATAGATGCAGAAAAATCATTTGTTAAAATTCAACATCTCTTTATGATAAAAATTCTAAACAAGTTAGATATAGAAGAAACATATCTCAACACAATAAAGGGCATGTATGACAAATCCACAGTGAACATCATATTGAATGAGGAAAACTTGAAAGCTTTCCTTCTAAGACTTAGAACAAGACAACATGCCGATTTTCATCATGTTTATTCAACATAGTAATGGAAGCCCTAGCTAGAGCAATTAAGCAAGAGAAAGAAATAAGGAGCAAACAAATTGGAAAGGAGAAACTCAAATTATTTCTGTTTGCAGACAACATGATCTTATATATTTAGCAAACCCTAAAGGTTCCACCAAAAATCTCTTAGAACTGATAAACAAATTTAGCAAAGTTGTAGGATACAAAATCAGCATACAAATTTAGTAGTAGTTCTATACATCACCAACAAACTAGCAGAAAAAGAAATCAAGAAAACAATATCATTTACAATAGCTACAAAATACAATAAAATACCTAGAAATAAATTTAATCAAGAATATTCACTGGGGAAGAAATAGTCTCTTCAATAAATGGTGTTGGGAAAACTGGATATCCATATGCAGAAAAATTAAACCAGACCCATATCTCCTACCATACAAAAAGTTTGCTCAAAATAGCTTAAACACCTAAATGTAAGACCTGAACCTATGAAACTACTGGAAGAAAACATAGGGGGAAATGCTTCGGGACATTGGTCTGGGAAAATATTTCATGAAGAATACTTCCAAAGCATAAAGCAACAAAAGCAAAAATAGACAAATGGGATTATATCAAACTAAAAGCTTCTGCACAGCAAAAGAAAGAATCAACAGGGTGAAGAGAAAAACTGCAGAATGGGAGAAAATATTAGCAAGTATACAACAAGGAATTAATATTTAGAATATATAAGAAACTCAAACAGCTCAACACCAAAAAAAGAAACAAATAATTCAATTTAGAAATGGGCAAATGATCTAAATAAACATCTCTCAAAGGAAGACATACAAATGGCCACCGAGTATATGAAAAAAAATGCCAACATCACTTTTCATCAAGGAAATGCAAATCAAAACCACAATGAGATATCATCTTACCCCAGTTAGAATAGCTATTATCAAAAAGACAAAAAATAATAAATGCTGGAGAGGATGCAGAGAAAGGGGAGCTCTTATACATTGTTCGTGGGAAAATAAATTAGTATAGCCATTATAGAAAACAAAAATATGGAGATTCCTCAAAAAACTAAAAGTAGAACTACCATATGATCCAGCAATCCCACTACTGGGTATATATCCAAAGTAAAGGAAATCGGTATGTCAAAGAAATGTCTGCACTCCCATGTTTACTGCTTCATTATTCACAATAGCCAAGGTATAGACTCAACTTAAGTGCCATTAATAGATGACTGGATAATGGAAATGTGATATATACACAATGGAATACTATTCAGACATAAAAAATAATGAAATTCTGTCATTCATAGTAACATGGATAAGCTTGGAGGACATTATGTTAAATGGAATAAACCAGTAACATAAATATAAATACTGCATGTTTTCACTCATACAGAAGCTAAAACAGTTGACTACAGAAAAGTAAAGAGTAGAATAGTGGTTACTGGTGGTGGGGAAGGGTGGAGGGGACCTGGGGAGGTAGCTAAAATTTGTGTAACAAATACAAAACTACAAGCTAGATAGGAGGAATAAGTTCCAATGTTCTATAGCATTGTAGAGTGACTATAATTAAAAGCAATTTATTGTATATTTTCAGATAGCTAGAAGAGCAGATTTCAAATGATCTCAACACAAAGAAATAATAAATGTTTGAGGTGATGAATATCTTAATTCTTTTGATTTGATCATTACTCATTGTATACATGTACTGAAATATCGCACTGTATCCCATAAATACATACAATTATTATGTGTTGATCAAAAATAATAATAAAAGAAAAAAGGCATAAGCTACTCTCTATAGAGGCAGAAAATAAAATGCAATTTTAAGTATTCCAAAGGAAAAAAAATAATAATTACAATAAGAAAGTCCTTCGATAAGAAGCAAACTTGATATATAAACAAGATGCTTAGAGCCATTATGAAGAGAGGATAAATTCTGCTCAGTAAATCTGAAAATATATTGCAAAAGAGAGGGCATTTGGTCTAAGTCTTGAAGGGTGCATAAAAGTTTTCCAGGTGCTAAATGGTGAAAAAGACGTTCCAGACAGAAACAGCAGTATTTTCTAAGGCACATTTTCCAAGTCACATTTGTAAAACTGCTTGGAATGTTTGCATAAGGGTGATGGCCCTGTGGAAGGAGAATATAGGATTCACACCAGCAAATCAACCAGCAAACAGGAACGAGCTCCCTCTAAGTGCCAGGCACCAGGCATACCAGTAGCAAATGTGCTGGACTTAGCTCATAACTTCATGGAGCCTCTACTGCTTGAGGAAGGAACTGCAGGAGATGATTCCCCATACCCTCCAATGGGGATGCTGCCATAACATCTTGCACTTCCTGGGGTAGCATGCATCACTTTCTATAGGATTGTCTGTTGACTGGTCATGCTCTCCAATTAGACTGTGAGTTCCTTAAGAGCCGAATGCTGTGCTGGTTACCTCTTTTATATCCCAGCTCAGTTCCAGGCACACAGTGACCACTCAACAGATTAGTGATTAAGGAAAGAAGGAATGAAAAGTTGATAGGACCAGTTTGTGACTGGCCTGCCTGCCTCCTCAGCCTCTTGAGGGAGAGCTATTACTGTTGCAATAAAATATAATATATTCACTGCAAACATGCAGGATTTTTTTAAAGCAGCAATAATTACATTACCACAACCCAGGATGGAATTAACCACAGCCTTTAACGTGAGTTATTAAAAATGTTTTACTTCTTCCACTGGCACTTAGAAGTCAGCTCTCCTACTGAGCCACTCTCTTCCTTCATTGACTTCTCTTTATCAGGGATGTCAAGATCATTGGCATTTAGAAAGCACATTATGTTAGCTTTTTTCTTTCCAAACACTGCAAAAGAAGTGATTTGACCTTTCATAAGGAAAATGGAACTCCTGAGCTTCCCCTACACAGCAGTCATGTCTGGGATTTCTTATCTCCACGTCAGAAGACCTTCTCACCAGCCTGGCAGGAGTCAGGCTGGAAGATAGATGGGAGTCTTTCTGATACTGTCCCCTTGAGAGAAAGTGCTGAAGGGGAAGGTTTATTAATAGTGGAGACCAGCCCTGCTGAAGGCAACTGTGAGGAGATGGGAGAGTGAGGGGGGAGGCAATGGCCTCTAGGGTCACAGTGAACTCCGCTGACATTTCATTTCTTTGACATCTGTGCTGAGAACCATAGGCTGTTGTCCTGGGGGTTGAAAAGGAGAGGATAGCTACAGTCAGAAAACTAAAATAGAAAAAGTTGACTGACCCAGCAGCCAAAAGGGACACTGAAAATTCCCTTATGGGAAAGAGCAGGTCTTAATAAGTCTCCTGTTTGGCTTAAAAGATAAGAAATAGGTCCATTGCCATCACCTACTCTTAGAGCTCTCTTTTGTGATTACTTTTGCATCTGGTAATAATTAGGAGCAGATGAGTCCTTGGAGTATATTGCCAAAATTACCCCAATTCTTCCTTTCCCTGTGCCCATGGCCCTTGCAATGAGACTCTGCTAGTGCTTCCATCAAGGAATGGAGCCTACTTCCTCACTGCCTGAATCTGGACTGGACCTTGTGACTAGCTTTGGCCAGTAGAACATGGCAGAAGTGATATTATGTCAGTTTCAAGCCTAGACCTCAAGAGACTGTGTATACTTTCATTCTCTCTGGGATACCTTCCCAGCTGCCACATGAAGAGCCTGGGCTAGTCTATGGGAGGATGAGACACGTGTGGACCAGAGTCCATTCAGAACAGTTATCCCAGCTGAGGCCCTCAAACGTGTGACAGCCTAGTCAGGATCAGTAAAGTGGCCTACCCAACATAGCTGAACATAGATGCAAGAATATGCCCAGCCAAGATAATAAGAACCACCTAGCTGAGCCCAGCTTAAATTGTCAATGGCAACATTTTAAGCAAATGAAATGGTTGTTATTTTAAGCCACTAGGTTTTGAGTACATTTTGTTATACAGTGATGCCTAACTGATAACACTCTTATTCTTGTTCAGGCACCCCTACAGGAAAGGAGGGTTTAGTACTTCATTTAGAAGATACCAGAACTCTATGTTAGAATGGAAGTTTCATGAGGGCAAGAGCCATGTTTACCTGGTTCAACCCATTGAGAGAAGCAAGTGATACAGAGCAGGGGATGAATACATCTTGTTGTATTGAGTGTCAAGATTGTGCAGAAAGTTGAGCATCTTCTGAATGTATACTCCAATAACTCATCTGCTCCTAATTGTTACCAGATATAAAAGTAATCACAAAAGGTAGCTCTAAGAGTAGGTAATGGCTGTGGACTTATTTCTTATCTTTCAAGAGTATACCTTCAGGGGAATTTGCCCAACTTACTTCTTCAGGTAATTATCACCCTGGTTCAAGCTTCTGTAAGAATTACTAGCAAGATCAATAGCACTTCTTAAATTTGACTTAAAGAGATGTGTGGCCTGGTGGAGAAGAGCCAGCTAATAGTTACGAACATTTCTGCCACACATACTCCACACCCTACAAAAATGCTCCATCCACTGTCTGCCTAGTTACCCAGGGTCATTCTTAGCAGCCATGCTGCTCCTCTCCCTCACTCAGTCCCCATGTCCTGTTGCTTATGCTCCTTAAATATATCTCAATCTATTCACTTCATGCCACTGCCCTACTTTAGAGTTGAATGACCAGTTCAGCTTCCTAAACTAGTCTCCTAGTTTAGGAGCCCCAGCAGCCAGTGTCATCTTTCCAAAGAACGAGTCTGTTCACTCCTCCCCTGCTAGCCTTCAATGGCTCCCCATTTGCCCTTGGGACCAGGCTCTTCGACAGGTTTTCTTGGTCTGTGTGTGCCCCCTGCTGGCTTTCCTACTTCACCTCTCCCTGTATGTTTTCACCAAAATACACCTGTTAGATCAGGTTTAGCCTAAAGCTGCCTCCTTACATATTTTAAGTTTGTCCTAAAGGTTGCCCTATACTTTGTGAACTATAACCTAAATGGAGTTGTAAACAGACTGTAGTCTACTCTTGTGTCAATCACCGAGTTTTTGGCCAATCAAAGGTGGCCAACTGTTCAAATCGTGTTCAAATAAGGCAGACGCCAAGCTCTAACCAATCTGGCTGTTCCTGTACCTCACTTCAATTTTCTTTACATCACTTTCCTTTTTCTGTCTGTAACTCTTCCACTACCTGGCTGCACTGGAGTCTCTCTGAGCCTCCTCTGGCTCAAGAGGCTGCCCCATTCACAAATCATCCTTTGCTCAATTATACTCTGTTAAATTTAATTCAGCTAAGGTTTTTCTTTTAACACATCTTTCCTGCAATACTGAACTATTTGCAGTTCCCAGGCTTGGGACATTCTTGAGCTGAGGCAGTCTCTCCACTCCCTATTCTACTGCTTGGCTATTTCTTTTCTTTTTACGTCTTCCCTTAGACGGCATAGTTTCCTTCCCTGATCTCAGCTTCCTGCCCATTTCCCTGATCTCAGAGGTGTCACTGTTTTTCTCTTCCTTCCCTCCACCACTAGACAATGAGCTCTGGGAGGCAGGGGCTATTTCTTGCATCTCTGTGTGTATTACAGGCTATGACTTAGGGTAAGTGGTTGAATGAATGAATGAATGAATGAGGCAAGCTAACCAAGAGACTTTGAGCAGCACCTCCTGATAATGAATCAGACTTGAGGGGAATCAGAGAGAGTGCTGGAAGAACAAGTTCCCATTTCCAGGTTAGGTAAAGGAGTAACTATTTCCAGTTACAAGATTTTCTTGGAAGTGGATTAGAAGTGAACAGTAACTAATATCTGTGTCAGGTACAGACATGGAACAAATTCATGAATTGGTCATTCTCAATAGACTTCAGTTGTTAATGGTGAAATTTGCTGAGAATCAATAAGCACCAGTGTTTATTAAACACTTAACTCTGTTCCAGGTACTGCACTAACGGCTTTACACTTAGCTCACTTATTTATCTTAGCCACCCAATAAAGTAGGGTCTATCACTATCCCCCCTTTCAGATGAGAATGCAGAAGCACAGAGAGGTCAAATAACTAATTCAAGGTCATTCAGCCAGTGAGTTTGGTTAAGTAAAATCATTTTGCTTGAGTGCAGGTTACATAGTCCTTACCTGATCCCCCACTACAAAATGTAGAATATGGGATATGCGATACAATTACAGAATTTAAACATATTTTGTTTACTTATGGGTTCAGATCAAGATAAAGCATCACATTTAAATGATTAGCCTGGTCAATACAAGAGTAAACAGAATCCCAATCAATAAACAAAGTTTTATCTTTCTTTCTGAGATTATGATCTGCAGTGCACATTTCTTGCCAAAACACACACATTCTATTTCCTGCCACCAGGCTCATAAGAATGAAGAAGTGAACATTTTATATGCATTTAATATGGCTAATTAGTACAATCCTTCTCTACTTGTTTCTACATGTAAGATTAATGTTGTTTTCCCATTTTCCCTCATGTTAACCAGCCTCCACTATAAACTAGCTACTTTTTCTGCAATCCTAGAAACTCCACCATCTCCTGTGCCCTCATCCATGTAGTTTCCCTTGCATAAAAGCCACCCCCATCTAAATATGTCACTCAAGTTAAGAAGAGCCAGGTAATAAACATCTCTACCATACACACACTTCCTGCTCCACAAAAGTGTTCCATCCACCATCTACCCAGTTACTTGGAGTCATTCCTGGCATCCACCCCTCTCCTCTCCTTCATTCAGTTCATGACCCACCTCCCTCTGTCTTGTCACACATTCCCATTGTAGGAAATCTTAAAATCTTATAACTCACACCAGTCAGCATTTACATTTATACTGCTCTCTGGAATAATTCTTTCTTTCTTTTTCTTTCCGTATACTTCCCTTCCCTCCTTCTTTCCCTCCTCCTTTCCTTCCTTCCTTTCTTCCATACACATATTTTGGGCACTTACCATGTGTCACTATCTGTGCAAGATGCACATACCATTAATGGCCTTGACATTCAGATTGTTTTATCCCAGTTAGTTGCATATGTCTCTATATGCTCTTACTGGTTGCCAGTTACTTTATGTTTATTAATTTCAGTTCTTAAAACAACTCTTTGAGAGGGTGCCCAGTAGCTCCTGCTCATTAAGTAGTTCCAGTGCATAGCCAGCTACAAGAGCTGTTTCATTTTACTACAGATTCAACTACATGTGTTTGCCCTGGAGAAGCTTACTTGCTAGAAAGTTTGTGGCAGGAACAAACTGGGGTTCCTATCCATATTCATCATGAATCTCACAGGGTTCCACATTAGAATCACCTGGACATTGTTAAAAAAAAATATGGAGCAGTCATAGGAAATCCCATATTTGGGGAAAAGAAAAAACTGTGTGTGTGTGTGTGTGTGTGTGTGTGTGTGTGTATAATGCATAGAAAATCTCTGAAAGGATACACACCAACCACTGGGAGAAGTCATAATCATTGAGAAAAGGAGAATCAGATGATGAGGGCAATAGCAGAAAACAGAAAATACATTTCTTATTTTCCACATTTCTGCACAATTGAATTTTCGTAATTAGTACATATTACTTGTTTTTCTTTAGATTTTGTATTTATTATATATTAGCACATTTTTGTGAAAGAGCCATAAAATACCTATGTGTACTTCATGAACTTTATTTATTGAGACAGGGTCTCTCTGTAGCTCAGACTGCAGTATAGTGGCCCCATCACAGCTCACTGCATCCTCAACCTCCAGGGCTCAGGTGATCCTCCTGCCTCAGCTTCCCAAGTAGCTGGGATTACAGGTGCACACCACCACAACTGGCTAATTTTTGTATTTTTTGTGGAGAAAAGGTTTCACCATGTTGCCCCAGCTGGTCTCGAACTCCTCAGCTCAAGTGATCCTCCCACCTCGGCCTCCAAAACTACTGGGATTACAGGCGTGAGCCACCACACGCAGCCCCGTGAACTTTATTTTGATAGTCCTTACTGCTAGTCATGAAAAATTCCAGCTTTCTACCTTCCAGCCTTCTGGTAAAGTTGCATTTCCCTATCTTCTTGAAGTCAGAGGTGGCCATAAGACTTGCTGTGGCCAACGAAATGGTGACAGAAGTGATCCGTCACTTCCAAGTGAAATAACTTAATGACCAGTGCTCAACGTCAACCTTCCTTTCCCGTGGCTGAGGTGATTGTAGAAGCACACATGGCAATAAAGATTCTGGCAGCTGAGGCACTGAGAGATCAGCAAAGCACCAGATACCAGCCAACCCATGTTACCAAGTAGCATGAGCAAGAAATAAATATCTGAGTATTAAGCCACTGAGTTTAGGAGACATTTCTTGTTGCAGCATAACCTAATTTTACCAACTAGTATAACCATTTTTTTTTAAAGAGATGAGATAGAATATTTTAGGACAGTGGCTCTCAATTCTTGCTTTACATTCAAATCCCTTGAGGATATTTCCAAGAACAAATGCTCCAGGCCTCATTCCTAAAGACTCCGATTCAACTAGTCTTGGGTAAGGCCAAAGCATTGGTGGTTTTTGAAAAAGTGAATCTAATATGCAGTCAGAATTGTGACCTACCATGGTAGGGGAATGGCAAAGAGAAAGGTTACTTCTAGCTTAAACGATCTAGTAGAGACTTCATGGAAGAGATGATAATCTGACCTTGGCCACGAGTAATGAATGGCATTTAATCCTGTGTTTCTCTGCCTTCTCTGGTGTGTTATTAGACTCACCTAGAGAGCTTGGCCTGCTCCATTTCATCTGGAGCATTCCCTCTTTCTTATTACTAGCAGAATCCCAATTTTGTTTGGATATGCCCTAAGAGATAAAGCATGTTAGCAGAATCCCGATTTTGTTTGGATATGCCCTAGAAGATAAAGCATGTTTGGTAAGCCAAACATTTCTCTTCAATAGATCCTCACTCTTTCAGACTCTCTTGCAGCCAGGGGAGTCATGTGACACAGTTCTGCCAGTGAGACATAGAGTGAAGCTTTCTAGATGCTCCATGGTCAAAAGACAGAGGGTCTCAAGAGAGCTATCTTACCACCATGGCTTCCAACTCCCTGTTGCTTCTTCAACCCCTACTTTCTACCTTTTGAAAGCAGTTGTGTGAGGCCATGAGGTTTGGTGCTGTTGCAGTCAGCTCATGTCCATGTGTTTTAGGGGGCTGGGGAGTGGCAGAAGAATTATAGAGCCATCTTGCAGCCCTAAGTCCCAAGTGAATCCTGGAACCTCCCCCACTTCTTTTTCTCAACCTTTATTCTAGTTACAGGGAGTACATGTGCAGACTTGTTACATGGGTATACTGCACTCAGGTCAGGAACATAGTACCCAATAGGTAGTTTTTTGACCTATGACCCCTTCCCTCCTGCCCACCTCTAGTAGCTTACAGTGTCTATTATTCCCACATTTATGTTTGTGAGTGCTCAATGTTTATATCCTACTTATAAGTGAGAACATGCAGTATTTGATTTTGTGTTCCTGCATTAATTCACTTAGAATTATGGCCTCCAGCTCCATCCATGTTGCTGGAAAGGACATGATTTCATTCTTTTTTTATGATTATGTAGTATTCCGTGGTATATATGTACCACATTTTCTTTATCCACTTCACCACTGATGGGCACCTAGGTTGATTCCATGTCTTTGCTATTGTGAATAGCATGGTGATGAATGAGTTCATGTGTCTTTTTAGTATAATGATCTGTTTTCCTTTGAGTGTACACCCTAGTAATGGGATTGCTACAGATCTCTCTCTCTCTCTCTTTTTTTTTTTTTTCTGAGCTGAAGTCTTGCTCTGTCACCCAAGCTGGAGTGCAGTGGCATGATCTCGGCTCACTGCATCCTCTGCCTCTTGGGTTCAAGCAATTATCCTGCCTCAGCCTCCCAAGTAGCCAGGATTACAGGTGTGCACCACCACGCCTGGCTAATTTTTGTATTTTTATTAGAGACAAGGTTTCACCATGTTGGCCAGGCTTGTCTCAAACTTCTGACCTCGTGGCCTCCCAAAGTGCTGGGATTACAGGTGTGGGCCACTGCACCCGGCCAGATCTCTCCTTAATGGAGGTAAATGTGCTTACAACTTCAACCACTGTTAGGTTTTCTATTATTTATGGCCAAACATTTCCAGATGGATGCATCAACTGATTGCAAATCTGGGGCCCAAGTAGGTGTCACTTTTAAATGTTCCCTCCAGATCCTGATACATGGTGAATTTTAAAGTTCCTGATGCAGTCATTTGGAGATGTCAGGGAATTGGGCGAACTGACAGGAGCAAAGTCTTAGAGGAATACGTTCTTATAAAGTTTCAAAGGCCCAAAATGGAGGAGATTTACTCTGTTAAGGGCATCTCCAGAGGTTTCTCCTGGAGACCAAAACCTTAATCCAATTAAAACAGTTTATTCTGGCTTGAGAGTTAAGAGTAATGTATCTCAGTATTCCTGGAAGCCTTAAAATAGTGCCTCGTTTTGCATAGTGCTTGTTAGAAATCAGATTCTTGAACCTCTCTCTCCTAAAATATTTGGACTCCGTAGGTCTGAGGTGGGGACCAAAAATCTGCATTTTTATTAAGGACTTCATTCTGGTGTGAGTGGTCCATGGACCTCACTATGAGAACCACTGCTGTGTTTACCAAACTTCACATTTCGAAGGAAGTGATTTGTTGGGTAAAGTGTATGTGTGTAATCTCTATAAACAACTTTCATCGATTGAATTTAATTGGACAACAGCTGGTGTTGATTGCATATTTTTTAATGTGGCTTTTCAATACTCACCCCCCTAGCACAGCCTTTATGTCTGAAAATCAGCATTGAGTCCAATCTTGGCTGTCGATTTTAAGGCTTATTTAAAGGCACATGACAGCTGGAGCTGCACGTTCTTCAGCTTAATGATTCTACATATGGACTTAGGAGTTTAGGTGCAGTGTATTGAAAGCAGAATTTCCACCGTGATTGGGTAGCTGTCAGTTGGTTTTAGAAGCTCTGAGTCACTTGCTCTCAAAGTCAGCTTAGGCAGATTATGTCACTACCTACTCCAGAAGAAGGCTCACCATCCTGAAAATAGTCATCGAGGTTGCTGCAAGCCTAGATGGGTCTGTGTATGTGAATTGGAAGAAGGTGACTCTTCCCCCAGGCAGAAAACTCTCCCTGGCTTAATGAGTAGTATAAAATCTAGAGAATGGAGGGAGAAGGCATCTAAAACAAAACAAAACAAAACTGGGGTGTTATCACAAAAAGAAGGGGAAATGATGATGTGCGTGTTCATTGCTGTTGCAAACAAAGTCTCCATATGATTCACCCTCTCAGGCATCTGTTATGCAGTGCACAACCCATACAACTACATATGACAGCTATGTAGGATTTAAAAGTCTTGGTCAGAATTCAAGAGTTGGAAGAGCTCCAAACATCAAACTGGTGGCTGTGAGTGTTGGTGGGAAAATAAAAACAGAGCAGCAAGACTTCGTTAAATAAGCCAGATGGCATGGACCTCTTTTGTGAAGGATGATCAGAAGGAAAGAGCCTGTGTTTGGCATTTACCCCTGAGCAGCCATGTGTGCTTTTTCCAAAGGCCACAGTGCATTGTGGTCACTTGGGCTCCATCACAGAATCTCTGCCTTTAGAGGCCTGTTTCCAGCAGGAGTGGACACACTCAGGATCTCTTCTCCATTTAGGGTAACAATACCCCAGTTGTCTTTTGAAGAATTGCTTCACTTCCCCTCACTGTTTTAATGATTCAGGTTTAAAATCAACACAGCAGCTCCAGGGATGAATAAATGACTTTGGCATCAGCATTCAGGGTAAAGCCCCCAGGCAGTTCTTTCACAGTCTGTGGAATCAGTTGGCAGGAGAGCATAGTGGTACAACCTGAGTCTTGGTAGCTGAGTGACATTGAATGTACTAATCTTTCTGTGGCAGATAGACTTCTAGGGTGGCCCCCCTGATTCCCGCTTCATCGTACTCATGCTGTGTGTGATCTCCTCCCCTTGAGTGTGTGTGGGACCTGTGTCTGGCTTCCAACTGACAAATATGACAAAGATTGTGGAATGATGTCATTTCTGGGATAATGTTACATAAGATTGTAACATCTATCTGCTTGAAGGCTCTCTCTCTCCCACTGGATCAGAAGAAGTAGACAACTATGTTGGGAAGGGTCATGTGTCAATAAACTGGGGGTTTCTGGCCAAGAAGCATCAAGAAACTGAGGTCCTCAGTTCTACAGCCGACTAGGAATGGACCACTAAAAAGAGCCATGGGAGCTTGGAAGCAGATCCTTCCCCTGGTTGAGGCTCAAATGAGACCACAGCCTTGGCCAAGACTTGGATTGAAAACTTGGAAATCCCTAAGCAGAAAACCTACTTAAACTGCGTCCAGACTTGATCACAGAAACTGTGAGGAAATAAGTGTGAGTTTGGTGGAAGCAGCTAAGTATGTGTCAATTTGTTATGTAATGATAGGTAATTAACACACTTTCTTAGGAAGAAGATGGAAAGATGGCCACACGATTGACGGTAAGGCCCCACTAATTGCTGTGAAGCTCAAAATAGGATATTGTAGGGACAAGCCTGGTACATAGTAGGCTCTCAATAAATTTCACTTCTCTTCCTCTCCTCATAAGTTGGCAGTCTCAGGATGCCAATCATATGGGAAATATTCAAACTGAACCCAGTGCCAGGATTAACCCAGGAAAATGCCAGCAGAAGTCAAAAAGCCAGGCTTCCTTTGTGGAAGATAAAATCATTTTACATCATACAGGAGGCTGTGCACAAAGCAAAAACTGTTTCATAATCCTGCCATGTGAACCAGCTGGGATTTTCTTTCACAAAAATTGGATTTTGATTTATATGTCAATAAATGCCCCCAGAAATCTCATCATTTGAAAGTTAATCAATCTCCACTGAAACTGCAGATACAGCCCTGGAGGAACCTCCCAGGGAAATATGGCACTCATTTACCAGCTCCCCCACCCCCCTGCTGATGGGGGCATGAAAAAGGGAGTGAGCGGCAGGGGAAATGGGGTCACCTACCGTGGCTTCTCAGTGTCAGGTTAAGAACTAGATTCCCCGAAAGAATTTGAGAGTGCCTGGACACTCTTAAACTGACAGGACGTGGGGTTTGGGTTCTGAAGCAAGAGAATGGCATATCAGATTTGAATATTGTAAACAGCATTCCAGCTGCAATGTGAAGAACAGGTTGGAGAGGCAAGACTGGGAGCAGGAAGACCAGTTAGGATGCTGTTTCAGTCCTGGGATGAGTAATAATGGTGCCCTGGATGAAGGTGGCAAAGGGGATGGGGAGATGGGAATGGATGTAAGAGCTCTTGGGGAATTCATTTTGGCAAGCTTGGTGATTAACAAGACTGGACAGAGAGGGCTGCTAGGATGACACTAGTTTGTGACTTAAGTAAGTGAGGGAATAGTGGCAACATGCAGAATGGAATTGTGAAAGACAAACAACATAACCAGTGGCCAATCAGAATTCTCAGAATGGTCCCAGAAGAGCTTTTCACTAAAGAGATAGGAAAGTCTCAAGTCAGGAGAGCACAGCCTCTAGCTAAAAGAAAATTGCCCCAACTCAGCGACTTCATGCATTAGACCATGAAAACCTCTGCCACAGACATTCCCTAGAATATCCTCTTGGGGGACATTATGACCTAGCTACAAATAAGTCACAACATCCCTTTAAACCTAATAAGGTTCTTTCTATACAAGCCATGACTACTTTGGCTGTTCTGACATAAAGGATTAAATTGATTTGGTTGAACATTTTACTGAACTAAGGGAATATTTGGCTGACCAGTAAAATTGACAAATGTGCATTATGTGTTTGAGGGCTTGTCAATTCCATTTTCACTGTCCTTCCTTAATGGAAGCCTATATCAAGTCTCAAAAGACTCCAGTCATTCTGCCCTCAATCTGCCCAGCACACAGCCAATTATCCAATATTCTAAGCTCATAGAGTCATTGTCAGGAGTAAGTGCCAAGATACATGTAAAACATTTAGCACAGTTCTTGGTACAAAGGAGAAGCTCAAATTTTCTCATCATCAGCACCATTGCCATTATTAACATCATCATTATTATTAATATTGTATGAATCCTATCCTAGCACTTGCCTGCTCAAAAGCCTTCCATGGCACCCCACTGCCTATAAGATAGAGTTCAAACTCATTAGCTTGGCCTTTACTACATGACATCATCAAACCAGTCCAGGTTTAATGTCCTCAGCACTCTAACATGTGTCCTACACTTCAGCCATAAAATAATGTAGATATTTACGGTATTTTGCCAAAGGCTAGGGGAGGGAACTAGACATGAATTAGATGTTCTGGCCTCACAGAACTCATGCTGTATTTGTAGATTAAAACACCCCAAGTCAATGTCTAGAGAAGGCTAAATGCCAGGCAGGGGGCAACTTTATAACTAACTGGAGATGTGATGCCTGGCTCAGGATGGTCCCTGATGAGCAGAAGAGAAGCCTGCAGAAAATCTCCTTGGCCAGACTCAGCTCAGAGCATTATGTGGGCATTTTATATAATCATTGTTCTGTTTTTGAGCCAGACATTGTTCTGGGCATTGCCATATATTATCTCGTTTAATTAGTCACAGCTCTATGAGGTGTGTATTTTTATTCCCATTTTACAGAAGAGGAACCTGAGGTTTAGGGAGATTAAGTAACTTGCTTAAAGTTACACAGTGAATAAATTACAATGCTAAGTCAAGTCCAGATATTTTTAACTGCAGATCACATAATACTTTCAAAGCCACTGGAGCAAGTTTCAGGTTTGAATTGTCACTGAAACTCACAAGATACGATAGGCTTACCAGGCATGAGTTTTGCTTCATTTTAAAAGCCCAGGAGTTTAAGACCAGCCTGGGCACAAAACTGAGACCCCATCTCTATAAAAACTTTAAAAAAATAAGCTGGGTATAGTGGTGCACACCTGTAGTCCCACTTACTAGGGAAGCTGTGGCAGGAGGATCACTTCAGTTCAGGAGGTTGAGGCTACAGTGAGCCATGATCATGCCACTGCACTCTGGCTTGGTCTATAGAACATCCTGTCTCAAAAAAAGAAAGAAAAAGAAAAAAGGAATATGGAATAAGAAGCAGTGTAGCATGTTAGCCTAAGAGTATCATAAAGGACATGGACACCCAGACCCAGTGTCCAATGCCCTAGTCACCATTTTGGTCTTTAGGGATGGGTACTGGTGTGACTGTGGGTCACTTCAGCGCAGGGAAGCTGCAGGATCTCAGGTCCCTCAGCTTGAATATCTTGCTAATGACATAGAATCTAGGACATTCTATAGAAAATGGGAAGGGTGCATGTCATGCTCCCATTTTTCGGTGCACCTGCATCCCATAATTACATCACCTGTAATTACACCCAACAAATAAGAACGCGACAACAAAGTGTGCTCAGGACACCTCTGGGTCAGTGATGAGCAGATAGCCATCCCAGCAAGACCATCATTTATCTCTAGTGGATACATTCCTTTTATTGATACCACCAAGAGTCCAACTTTCCTCAAGCATTCCTGAGACTGAAAGAAAAACTTACAGTTCACCTGCTATCCTCAGCCCCTTCCTTCTAATTATGATGACAATGACAATTATGATGATGATAACCAACACTTACTGAAAACTCATTATGTGCCAACCCCGTGCTAAGCTTTTTATCTGAATTACTTCCATGAGACCCCACAATCCAATCAAATGAGTCTAATTATTATTGTTTATTTTACAGATGAGGAAACTGAAGCTTCAATAGAGAGGTTTAGTAACTTTCCCAAAGTCACACCTCTAGAAAGTGAAAGTGCCAGGATTTAACCCTGGTGCATTGGACTCCCATACTGGTGTTTTCAACCAGTCTACAAAGCTGGTTAATGGATTCAAAAATTAATCCACCCTTAACAATTCAGTTGGTTATACGCCTGAGTCCCAAATCAAAAGTAAACCAATTCAAGTAGGGGGGAAGAAAAGCTATCAAACCAGTAAGTTGTCTAATTCGGTCAGTTATTTAACCTGAATTGACAAGTCATTTTATTCAAAATAATTGAGCTGATAATTGTGTATGGAAATGATAGCATGGCTTAATTGCCATGCTTAGCAGCTTTGCTCAATTTTTTTAACTTAAAAAAAGTTGTAGTGTTTCAGAAAGAATTCTCTATGGAATTAGAGTTTTACAGGTGCTGCGCTATGGTCAATGATTGGAAAAAGTGGACTAAGCTATGTTAAAGGGATCATTTTTCTTCAAGAATCACACAGCCTCAAACAAGATCCCATACATTATGAATCTCTCACAGGGCTCGGTGGTGCAAGTATTCCCCAAATCTTGTCCTGGTAGGCCCCGCTTTGGATAGGGACATACAATTCCCAACACATGCAAGGAAATACTGCCACATCTCATCTCTACACTCGGCCTCATTTCACTCCTCCCAGAATCAGAGCAATTTTTTTTTTTTGCTTCTATTAGTCTGCTTCAAATCAGCTCCCAGCTTCCCAGAGCCTCATCTGTAGCACAGCGGACACCAAGAACAGGACAACTGCTCAGGGAACTAGGGAGCACGGACTTCTTTACATTATGTAGACCCAGTCTATCCACTGCTGAGTGGATCAGCTCAAAGAAAGGATTTACAAAGAATACTAGGAAACTAGAACAAAATAAATGCAAGTACACACACACACACACACACACACACACACTTGTACATGCACACCCCCCATAAAGGTTATTGGGTTTCATCCATCAAGATGCCTTTGAACAGAGCTCATAAACATTTAAAAAAATGTTTACGATGGTGAACAATGCACTTTAGTATCTCCTGAATAATTTGTGTTGTCTTGAGCAGCCATTGCAATATTTTCTTATTTTTGTCCTCTCCGCTGCTGCTGACCACTCTGAAAGAAATGAGCTTCCGACTGCATTAATAGCTTTTTCATCTTCCTGCCACTGCTCCCTCTAAATGGCTTGCCGTTATCTATTCATGAAATAAATAACTGGTGCCTTTCATGTCTCCCACACTCTCCTTGTGCTTGGCGAGATTAGGGAAATTAAATCCCTCCAAGGGGCTCTCTAGATTCCTGCATGGCAGGAGAACTTGGCAAAGCTGGCTCTGTGCAAAGTTGAGGGGAAATTAGGTAAGTCTGGACATATCTTTTTGTCACAAGAGAATTTCCACAGGGGCTCCATGGAACATGCTTCAATTTGCAGGTGTGGTGATTGAAGCTCTCAATTAGTTTGGAATCCTTTCCACCAATTTCCTGTGGGTGTTTAGCCACCTTTCTGTGGGAAGCCACATAACATGGCAGTTAAATATTAACATCCCCAGATTAAAAAGAGATATGGATTTAAATCCCAGCTCTGCCACTTACTAGCTGTGCGACCTTAGGCAATTTGCTGTGCCTCTCTGAGCCTCAGCCTCCTTTATTATAAAATAGGGATAATAATTATCCCTACTTCATAAGGTAGTTGTGATCATGCAATGAGTTAATTAATATCATAAGGTGCTTAGAACAATGCCTGATGTGTGATAAGCCCCATGTAAGTACTTACTTTCTTATTCTTCTTCGTATGAATTGAGAATGAATGTAAAGCACTTGGCACATAGTAAGTATTCAATCCATGGCAAACATCATTATTATTACTACTATTACCTACTTTTTTTAAGTTATCAGTGAAGAAGGAAAAATAAATAAAGTATCTTTTAATATGTAGTGAAGCAGTTTATATATATTATCTTATTTAATTCTGATTATTATTAAATAGTAACTCTATCATTATTCTCACTTTATATTTGATAAAATGGATCCAGGGAAGTACAGTGGTGTGTCCATGTTCAGTGCTGGTGGCAGAGGCAAGAGTTGAACCCCGTTTGATCTGATGCCCAAATTTGTCCTCATTCCAGCTAGATGGTCATTACCAGAAGGACAAGGCCTTGCCTGTTTCTAATGTGTCTTTAATAACCAGAAAAAAGCCAGGACCATAGGAGATGCCCACGTGTAAGTCTTAATCAGCTCTCACAACATACCAGGCACTCTTAAGCATGTCCTACATATATCTTCATTTGACTTATGTACCATATAAGCTGGGTACTAGTACTATCCCAATCTTAAAGATGAGGAGATGGATGGATGGATGAAGGAATAAAATGATGGATGGGTGGGTGGGTTCCATTACTCATGTCTTCTGGATTAGATGGATCATAAACTACTTGAAGTTCTTATTAAAATTCAAAATCCTAGGCTCCTTTTAACTCCTGCTCACCCCAGGGATTCTGTTTCAGTAATTCTGGTGGGCTCCATCCTGGAACATACATATAGTCCAATCCTCCCATGAGGTCTGATGAGTTTTATGAGTCGAACAAGTTTCTGGTTCTTGAACAAAAATTTTGGTCCAAGAATGGAAATCAGAAGCAGCTGCTAAGAATACAACCAGCTTCTGTTTTGGTAATTTGAAGAGGAGACTCTAGCAAGTCAGGGCCAAGTTATATGCCCTGTACTCTGTAACTATTATGTCTTCGGTACAACTGAAAGGGAATGGAAAGACAGTTCATTGGCAAAATTTGACACCCACCTGGGAGATGGCATACTGGGGTGGCCTGGAAGTGGCCAGAGTTGGATGTCAAGATACCTGGTTCAACTACATGCTCTGCTCCTTTTTTAGATGTGTGCTTCCCTGAAGCTCAATTTTTCCATCTGCAAAACAGAGGTAATCATTCCTACCTCACTGGGATGTTTTGAAGATAAAATGAGATCATGGATTAAAAAAACAAAAACAAACACTTAGCATAGTACTCATCTAATCATCATCATCATCAGTAGTGATGGATAAGAAATATAGCACACTCAGCAGAAGGTCCAGCTCATCCTCCTACCTGCCAAGAGTCACACTGAGAGCCATCTTAGTTGCTGTCAAGTAAAGGGTGGCTAAAGAAAATATTGTACAGCAAGTAATAGAATTAGCCTCATGAATGTGCCTAAATCCCTGAACCAGAGATGATCAAAGCAGGTAGCCTCTACCCCAGGATGCAAAAGACAGTCCATTAACTGTAAGATATTGTTGAAAGAAACTAAAGAGAACCTAAATAAATGGAAAGATCTCATGTTGATTTATGATTTTTAAGAAGGCAATAATCCTCAAATTGATTTACAGATTAAATGCAATACCTATCAAAATATCAACTGGCTTTTTTTCCTTGCAGAAATTGGCAGGCTGATACTAAGTTTCATATGGAAATGCAAGGAGATTAGAATAGGGAGAATGATCTTAAAAAAGAACAATATTGGAGGACTCACAAGTTCCAATTAAAACTTACTACAAAGCTACAGAGACCAAGACAGGGTAGTAGTAAAATATAGGCATATAGATCAATGGAATAAAATTGAGAATCCAGAAATAAACCTTATATTTTGGCCAAGTGATTGTTTACTGATTGATTAATTGATTGGAATAAGTTCAAGAGATTTATTGTACATAATTGAGGTAGGAGGCGGGACTCAACTGACTCTGGAGGTGGAGCTTGGACTCTGGACCATATTGAAGACTAGCTGAAACAGGGAAGAAGTGAAAGTATCTCTCCAGGTGGGGCACAGTGGCTCACATCTGTAATCCCAGCACTTTGGGAGGGCAAGGCAGGCGGATTACTTGAGCCCAGGAGTTTGAGACCAGCCAGGGAAACATAGCGAAAACCCATCTCTAGAAAAAAATACAAAAATTAGCCAGGTGTGGTGGTGCACACCTGTAGTCCTAGCTACTCAGGAGGCTGAGATGGGAGGATTGCTTGAGCCTGGGAAGTGGAGGCTCAAGTGAGCCGAGTTCGCACCATTACACTCCAGCCTGGACAACATAGTGAGACCCTGTCTCAAAAAAAAAAAAAAAGCACCTCTCCATAAGACATGCCCACCAGTGCCATGTCAGTTTACCATTGCCAGGGCAGCACCTGGAAGTTATCACCCCTGTCCATGGCAACAACCCAGCAATCAGGAAGATACCACTCATTTTCTAGAAATTTCTGCATAATCCACCCCTTAATTTGCATATAATTAAAATGGGTGTAAATGTGACTGCAGACCTGCCTCTGAGCTGCTGCTCTGGGCACACTGCCTATGGGGTAACCCTGCTCCACAAGGAGCAGTCCCTCCGCTGCTGCTGTGCACTGCTGCTTTAATAAAAGTTGCCATCCAACACCACCAGCTCACCCTTGAATTCTTGCCTGGGCAAAGCCAAAAACCTTCCTGGGCTAAGCCCCAGTTTTGGGGCTCACTTGTCCTGCATCATAATGGTGACTATAGTTAATGTACTGTGTACTTGAAAATGGCTGATTGATTTTTGACATGAGTGCCAAGGTCATTCAATGAAAAAACAATAATATTTTCTACAAATAGTGCTGAGACAAATGGATATTCACATGCAAAAGAATGAAATTGATCCCCTACAGTATACTAAACACAAAAGCTAACTCAAAATGTTTTACAGATCTAGACATAAGGGCTAAAACTATACAATTATTAGAAGAAAACAATCTTCACAACCTCAGATTTGATGTCTTAAATTCAATACCAAAAGCAGAAGTTATAAAAAATGTAAATTAATTGGACTTTATCAAAATTAAGATATTTTTGCTTTAAAGAATGCCGTCAAGAAACTGAAAAGACAAACCACAGAATAGGAGAAAAATATTTGCAAATCTTGTATCTGTTAAGGGACTTACTTCCAAAATATGTAAAGAACTCTTAGAATTCAATAATGAAAAGGTAAATAAGCCAATTAAAAACGGGCAAAGGATCTGAATAGACATTTCTCCAAAGAAGATATGAAATAAGCACATGAAATTATGCTCAACATTGTTAGTCATCAGGGAAATGCAAATTAAAACCATACTAGGACAAAATTTACACACACAAGAGTGGCTTTAATTTAAAAGGCAGGTAATAATAAGTGTTGGGGAGGACATGGATATATTAAAACCCTTATACATTGTTGGTAGAAATGTAAAATGGGACAGCTAGTCCAGAAGGTACTTTGCTTCCAAAGGTTAAATGTACAGTGACTGTATCACTTAACAACTACACTTATAGTTATTTTACCAAGTGAAATAAAAACATATGTCCACATAAAAACCTGTGCACAAATAATCATAACAGCACCATTCATAATATCAAAAAGTGGGAATAATCCAAATACTTATTAACTGATTAACAAATAAATAAAATGTGGTATGTCCATGCAATGGAATATTATTCAGCCATCAAAAGGAATGAAGAACTGATACATGCTACAACATGGATGAACCTTGAAAATATTATGCTAATTGAAAGAAAGCAGACAAAAGACTGCATATTATAAGATTCCATTTATACAAAATATTCAGAATGGGCAAATCTATAGAGACAGAAAGTAGATTAGTGGTTGTCAGGGGATGGAGGAAGTTGGGGAGTGACTGTTAACAGCATGGGGTTTCTTTATGGGGTGATAAGAATGTTCTAAAATTGATTCTTGTAATGGTAGCACAACTGTGTAAATATACTAAAAATAATTGAAATGTACACTTTAAATAGGTGAATTGTATAGTATGGGAATGGTGTCTCAATAAAGCTAACTTTTTAATTCACCAGGAAAAAATACTAGAATCTTTATATCTTATCATTTTAAAATTTTATATATATACATATATATAATTTTATATATAAAATATCTGTGTTATGGGTTGAATTATGCCTTCCCCAAAATTTATATGTTGAAGTCCTTACTCCCAGTACCTCAGAATATGATCTTATTTAGAAATAGGGTCATTGCAGATATAATTAGTTAAGATGAGGTTATACTGGTGTAGAGTGGGCCCCATATCCAGTATGACTAGTGTCTTTATAAAAAAAAAGAAAACTTGAAGGCAAACAGGCATACAGAGAAGACAGTGGGACAAGACATGGAGAGAAGACGGCTATCTGCAAGCCAAGGAAAAGGTCTTGGAGCAGACCCTTCCCTCACAGACCTTGGAAGAAACTAGCCCTGCTAACACCTTGATTTTGGATTTCTAACCTCCAGAATTGTGAGACAATAAATTTCTGGTTTTGTTTTGTTAATTTAGTAGTAGACAAAGTCTCCCTATGTTGCCCAGGCTGGTCTCGAACTCCTGAGCTCACACAGTCCTCCTGCCTCAACCTCCCAAAGTGTTGGTATTACAGGCATGAGGCACAGTGTCTGGCCTAGATTTCTGTTTTTAAACCACCCAGTTTGTGGCACTTTGTCACTGCAGCCCTAGAAAACTAGTACAACCCATATTACTTTATTAGAGTGGTACCTGCATATAATTTATTCATACTTACATACACTTACAGGTGTTCAGGAACATTCCTTTTCCCTGTGAGTGAAGCAAGTCTCCTACAGTATGTGAGCCAGGGAAGGAGAACAGGTCTTGCTGACCAGTTGACCTAGACCTGGCTCCTCATTTGCTCTTTAATAGCTGTCTGATGAAACCAAATCACATAACCACGCTGATTGTTAGTTTCCTCAACTGCAAAGCCTAGAAAATAATCTCTTCCACGAAAGGTTATGGTCAAACTTTGCAACAATATATTTTTGATGCCTCCATGATGCCCAAAATATGGTAGGCATTCAACTAATGATAGTTCTGATTATAAATTATTTAGGACATGGTGTGGTACAATGGAAGCTTTTGAGCCAGGTATACTTCATCCATTTATTCAACAAATATTTATTACTGTGTGTTGGGCTCTGTACTAGGATCAGTGAATGTAGCAGTTAACAAAATAAAATTCCCTACCCTGTGGGATTTATGATCAAGTAGGAGAGAGACAGAGAGTAAAATATATGCATAATAAATAAGTAAATTATTTAGTAAGATAGTATGGTGGACAGTTAAAAAGTGCTTTGGAGAGAAAAATAAAGAAGAGTAAGGGAAAATAGTCATGCAGAGAGAGGTGTTGAAATTTATAAAGGATGGCCAGGCACAGTGGCCCATGCTTGTAATTCCAGCACTTTGGGAGGTCGGGGTGGGCAGATTGCTTGAGCTCAAGAGTTTGAGACCAGCCTGGGCAACATCATGAAACCTCGTCTCTACAAAAAATACAAAGATTAGCCAGGCATAATGGTTTGAACCTGTATTCCCAGCTACTTGGGAGGCTGAGGTGAGAGGATGGCTTCAACCCAGGAGGCAGAGGTTGCAGCGAGCCAAAATTGCACCACTGCACTCCAGTCTGTGTGACAGAGCAAGACTCTATCTCAAAAAAAAAAAAAAAAAAAAAAAAAAAAGAAAGAAAGAAAGAGAGAGAAAGGAAAAGGAAAGAAATGTATAAAGGATGGTCAGAGTAAGTTTCATGGAAATGAGGATACCTAAATAAGGCTAAGCAGATAAAAACTTGTGCCTTGCCAGATCTGGGATTTGAATTCTTGTTCTGCTATTTCACTTTATAATGTTAGGAAAGCCATATTATTTCTCTGAGTCTCCATTTCATTATCTGTAAATGGGGATAGTGGTACCCACTTCACAAAGTTTTCAGATCTTGTAATAATGTATATTAAGCTTTTTGTTCACAAGATACTTTTAAGAACACCGGTAAAGTAACTTCTGATATTTATTAGGTACTTCTTCTGCCTACCGTGCCCTCCCCTAGGCATTTCATATGCATTATCTTGTTTAATTCTCACCATAGCTCAACAAGGTCAGTAGATTATACTCTCATTTTACAGATGAGAAAACTGAGGCTCAGGGAGTTGAAGTGATTTTCCCAACATCACTAAATTAGGAAGTGGTATAGACAGGACTTGAACCTGGGTCTATCTTACTCCCAAATCTATTAAACTTCTTCCCTGGCTTATTGGCTATGTGATCGTCAATGAGTCACTTTTCTAAGCCTTCATTTCTAATTATTTAAGAATTTGACAAAAACAAGCGATGGGGAAAGGATTCCCTATTTAATAAATGGTGCTGGGAAAACTGGCTGGCCATATGTAGAAAGCTGAAACTGGATCTCTTCCTTATACCTTATACAAAAATTAATTCCAGATGGATTAAAGACTTACATGTTAGACCTAAAACCATAAAAACCCTAGAAGAAAACCTAGGCAATATCATTCAGGACATAGGCATGGGCAAGCACTTCATGTCTAAAACACCAAAAGCAATGGCAACAAAAGCCAAAATTGAAAAATGGGATCTAATTAAACTAAAGAGCTTCTGCACAGCAAAAGAAACTACCATCAGAGTGAACAGGCAACCTACAGAATGGGAGAAAATTTTTGCAACCTACTCATCTGACAAAGGGCTAATATCCAGAATCTACAAAGAACTCAAACAAATTTACAAGAAAAAAACAAACAACCCCATCAAAAAGTGGGTGAAGGATATGAACAGACACTTCTCAAAAGAAGACATTTATGCAGCCAAAAAACACATGAAAAAATGCTCATCATCACTGGCCATCAGACAAATGCAAATCAAAACCACAATGAGATACCATCTCACACCAGTTAGAATGGCAATCATTAAAAAGTCAGGAAACAACAGGTGCTGGAGAGGATGTGGAGAAATAGGAACACTTTTACACTGTTGGTGGGACGGTAAACTAGTTCAACCATTGTGGAAGCCGATGTGGTGATTCTTCAGGGGTCTAGAACTAGAAATACCATTTGACCCAGCCATCCCATTACTGGGTATATACCCAAAGGATTATAAATCATGCTGCTATAAAGACACATGCACATGTATGTTTATTGCGGCACTATTCACAATAGCAAAGACTTGGAACCAACCCAAATGTCCAACAATGACAGACTGGATTAAGAAAATGTGGCACATATACACCATGGAATACTATGCAGCCATAAAAAATGATGAGTTCGTGTCCTTTGTAGGGACATTGATGAAGCTGGAAACCATCATTCTCAGCAAACTATCGCAAGGATAAAAAACGGAACACCGCATGTTCTCACTCATAGGTGGGAACTGAACAATGAGAACACATGGACACAGGAAGGGGAACATCACACACTGGGGACTGTTGTGGGGTAGGGGGAGGGGGGAGGGATAGCATTAGGAGATATGCCTAATGCTAAATGACGAGTTAATGGGTGCAGCACACCAACATGGCACATGTATACATATGTAACAAACCTGCACGTTGTGCACATGTACCCTAAAACTTAAAGTATAATAATAATAATAATAATAATAATAATAAAAAGAATTTGAGCGTCATTTAATTTCCCATCGATGCCTTGATTAGCATCTTAATTCAACCCAGTTTGGCCTGTAGCTGAGGCCGACTGGCAGGAAAACTCAAAAAGGACATAAAATAACATCCAGTCAAACTTGACCAGTCAAAATAATCCAATTTTGATCAGTGGCAGTGGCTGCCTGAAGCCCTCTACTAGGAAGGATTTTAATATCACAACTGGTCTGAGCAGGGAATAGTGTCATGATCTATTAGTGATGTCTCGCATGGATGAGGACATGGAGAGCAGGGATCTGTGTTGTAAAATCACTTCTGCTGGTCCTAAATGGGAAATCCAAACATCCCTGCAAAATCAAAACTAACTTTCTTTGGTCAATGCAAAAACCAACTTAACATACTTAAAGCCAGTTACCAACCCTGATAATATGAACATAAATTTAGGAATCATTCTCTCCATTCTCTGGATATTATCTACCTTTAGTCATCAACTCAAATGTCTTTAACAACATGGTCAAGAAAAAAATTTTAACTACTTTTGAATCAAACATAGAGGAAAACCATACACATTTTCTTGGTTGGAAAGGAATGTGGTTCTCTTAAGGATCATGTAATAAATGGCAGCCCAAGAGAGACAGAGAAGAGCGTGTTTCCCAAACTGCTGACCCACTTACTCCATACTCAAAGACCCATTCATCTCTTCAAGGTCCAAGAGAAGAGCCTCCTGATTTATAACACAGCACATCAAGGAGGCCGTAAAACCACATGCCAACAAGGGAATGCAGGGAAGGAAAGCAGACCCCTTCTGATCTTTTGAGAAGAAGGATTTGCATGGGAAGTTGCTAAAGCTAATTCCCAAAAGTGTCAGTCTGAATTGCATATAGTCAACTCCCAGTGATCATGGATGAAGCCAGCCTGGAACACTGGTAAAATGAAGTAGTGGAAAACCCAAGCAATGTTTTCTTGGGGGCCAGTGCAAAGACTGGGGAGTTTCAGACAGATCTGGGTCAGAATCTCGTCTGGACCATTTCCTGATTTGTGACTTTGGGCAAGTCATTTGACCTCTCAGAGCCTCAAATTCTTCATCTCTAAGGGGGAGGTAGTAACATACCTTCCTCCTACCCTTTATTGTGAGGATTAAATGTAATAATGAACACAAAGCACTCAGCAGAGTGCCTGCAACATAGTAAACCCTCCATCAATGTGAGTTCTGCTTACTGTGTTCTACATGAGGAAGGAGAGCATATTTATATTTCTCAATGAGAGTCATGCAGACTAATATCACAGTGCATCAGAATCCCCATATTAAATTCAAGGGTCATACCAGGGAAAGCTGCTAGGTAGAGATCTAGTTCCCACTCTGCATTCACTTGCTCTTCAGGCTTGAGAATTTTACCCCACTTCCTTGAGCCTCGGTTGGACCATCTGCCATATAGGACGGGGCAGAACAGAATTTGAGACGTGGACACAGTGTTCAAATCCCAGCTCTGTATTTTTTGTCTGTGTGACTGAGCCTTGGTTTCCTAATAATGATAACACTAGCTTCCCAGTGAAAATTAATAAAATAAGCACTCAAAAATGTGAGCAATACTAATTCTTAGCTTCTTTAATAACATTATTATTAAAATTACTCTCTCTTAGGTTCTTCCCTGCTTCAAGAAGCCAGTATCAGCAGCAGGATGGAAGGAAACCAAATTGTGGTTAACAATTTTCCCCTGACATACTACATGCAGAGAGCTGAGAATCACCTGGACATTGGCCATTGCCACACCAATAATATCCCTCCCTCTATCATCCAAAGGCAATCAAGAATATTCAGAAAATTTTAAAACTGTAAATGTCTCCTCCTCCAGTGCTCTGTAGTTCAAATTCTAAGAGAAAGCAAAGCTCCTATATCAGCATTAATTAAACTGCCAGCTAGTAACAGCCCCATTACTTAACCAATAAATCTAATTCCTATCTGTTCAGCAAGAATCCCCAGGCGACATAAACCCCGGCCGGAGTTTTATGTAACCTTAAAGAACTCTTGATAACTCCTGGAGTTTTTCTTCTCCCCACCCATCTTGCAGTATCAAGAAGGTCTACTCTGCAAGTTAATGGGGAAAATAGCTTCTCTCGGCACTTTCCCCGTCTGTCTTAATTTTTTAAATTATACTTTTATTAAACCCTTAAGGAAAATGGAGTTGCCGAGTTCTCATTAAACAGGGAACTATGTACTGCATAAAACAGAGCAATGAATTTTTTTTTGAAAGCTATCCTCACAATTTGCCTTAATGAATTCTCCCTCCGCTGCTATATTACGGAGAGTGTGCAAATAAATAGAGCACTTTGTGAGTGGTGTATGGGAAAATGGATATTTAAGTAGATAATCATAGTTCTTGCAGCCTCCAATAGGGATCTCTCTTCCCAGGAACTCAAAGCACTTGGTGCATTATGGCGAGCTCCTCTCCTCCTGGAGACGGACTTCACGCCAGTGAGGGAAAGCGCCTCATCCCTGGAACTAGTCACGGAAGGAGAATCACTCCCATCCAAGAGCCTCAGAGGAAGTTGTGAGAGTGTATGCTCTAGGGGAGTACATGATGTTTATTGAGCATCCACTCTGGCCAGGTACCTTGTGAAGTGCTTTTCCTAGCATCCATAGTTATCAGCCACAGTAAATTGGGTTACTGTTCCCACCCCCACATCCGCTCTCAACAGACTCATCCATCTGAGTTCTTTGCCATGTGACTTGGCAGTGTTTCCCATTGTGGGTAGAGTCTACTTCCTTGCTCTGCTGTTGTTGAACTTAGTCATGTGACTTGCCTTGGCCAATGTAATGTAAGAGGAAGTGATAGGAGGCCAGTTCTAAGCTGAACTTCGAGAGGTGGCACATGTTTCCAATCTCTAACATTCCTGCCATCAGCACCATAATAAGGGCATTTCCCACAGAGCTCCTGGTCTCAGGATGAGAAACAGAGCGGACATACGCTGCCTGGAGCAAAGCCTGACTAAACAAACCCTAGCCCATCTGCAGATAAAAGAGTAGAAAAATGTTTGTTATTGTAAGCCACTGAGATTTCAGAGTTATTCATTTCATAGCATTATTGTAGCAGTGGCTGACCAATATATCAACTGCATATCAGAATCACTTGGGGAGGCCGGATGTGTGGTGGCTCATGCCTGTAATCCTAGCATTGTGGGAGGCTGAGGCAGGAGTATTGCTTGATCCCAGGAGTCTGAGACCAGCCTGGGCAACATAGTAAGACCTTATTTCTACTAAAACTTAGAAATTAGCCAGGTGTGCTTGTGCTATAGTCTCAGCTACTCAAGAGGCTGAGGCAAGAGGATTGCTTCAGTCCAGGAGATCGAGGCTGCAGTGAGCTGTGATTGCACCACTGCACTCCAGCCTGGGTGACAGAGGGAGACCCTGTCTCAAATAATAATAATAATAATAATAATAATAATAATAATAATAATAATAATAATAATAATTTGGGGAGCTTTAAAAAATGTTGATGCCTAGACCCCATCCTAGAGATTCTGACTAAGTTGGTCTGAGGTGACTCAGGGCCCCTTCCCAGTGATTCTAATGTGCAGTCGGGATCAAAAATCCACCAATCCACATCACACCAATCCGCATCACACACCAATCCGCATCACACTAATCTGCATCACATTTAATCCTCTCTACAATCCTGCAAGGTAGGGCTTGCCCACTCCACCTTGCAGGTGAAGAAACTGAATGTCATAGACAGGGAATGATTATCTAGAGGCCTCCCAGCTAATAAGTGGCAAATCTGACACTCAAGCCCAGATTTGTGTAACTTATAGTCTCAAAGTAGCTGGGAAGGTTGCTAAAATGTGCGTTCTGGAGTCCCACATTGCCTGCAAAATCAATTCTCTTGGGTTTGGAACCAAGAACCTACTTTTTAAACTGACTTCTGTATAGGCAGAATTCTGAAATGGCCCCCAAGATCCCTGCCCCTTTCTGTCCCTGTATAATTCCCTCACTTTGAGTGTAGCTGAGATCTGTCAATATGATGGTTGTCACTCTTCTGATGAGCTTACATTATGTGGCCAAGATGAAGGGATTTGTAGATGTAATTAAGGCCCCTAACCAGTTAACAAGTAAATCAAGGGGAGGATTATCTTTGGAAAGCCTGACCTAATCAGGTGAGTCCTTTAGAAGAGGATGTAGAGGTCAGAGATGGAAGACATTGGGGAGATCAAGGTAACAGAGACACTCTTATTGGCCTTGAAGAAGCAAAATTTCATACTATGAAGATGACCACATGACAGAGAACAGTGGGCAGCCACTAGGGACTGAGGACCTCAGTCCTACAACCTCGAGGAACTGAATTCTGCTACCTACTGGTGAGCTTGGAAAAGGACCTCAAGCCCATCTCTGGCCAATATGTTGATCTTAGCCTGAGGAGATCCTGAGCACAGGACTCAGACTTCTGTCCCATTGAAATGGCAAGATGAATTTGTGTTGTTTTAAGCTAAGT
Organism: Homo sapiens; assembly: GCF_000001405.40. NCBI lineage: Eukaryota > Metazoa > Chordata > Mammalia > Primates > Hominidae > Homo > Homo sapiens. Next base: position 107,965,701 of record NC_000012.12, on the reverse strand, counting down.
GCATGGTGATTTCTTACAAAGCAATAGGAACCAACACAGCTTTTCAGGCAATTTGGATAAAGGCAGTTGTCCTTGGGCTACACTTTGAAAGAGACTGGAACTACTTTCTTCTAAGCCTGCACAAAAATGGAGGCCATGAGATTACCCAGATCAAAACTAAACCAGACCACAAACAAATTATGATTGGGTCAGATTTGGGATTTTGCTGCTGCTGTTATCATTGTCTTGGTGTGGTCTGGTTTGAGGTTTGCTTGTTTGTGAAATGAAACATTGATTGATGACTGGGTGTATTCAAAAAAATGACATCCCCCAATAAGGCTTAGACCAGTGCTTCTCAAACTGTCTATGGTAAAGGACCAGCTTTGGTTTTCTCCCAAAATGTTATGGCCTGATACATGGTTCTACTGTGCATGACTACTACCAGCTGGAACCACAAGCAACTCATCGGTGTTTAAAAAAGCCAGATGCAAACTTGTCTACACCCTGTTTAACGGGACACTTGGACTCTCTGCAGTACTGAATTGCTATAAAAGTTTCCAAATGCCAGTTCTTGGTGTCTGACCAATCTTGTCCTGGACTGGTAACAAACATCTCATAGACCCCCAGCTCAGAGACCACACTTTGAGTGACATTAGCTTAGAGTCACTCAGAGTCCTCACCCCTTGCAGCTCCAGTCCTGGTTTGGGACCACAGATGACACTGAGATGCTGACACTTCCAAATCATCCACATTGTGCTGCTTTCCATGCTCAGATTTCTAAAAGTCCAGCAGAGACAGGAAAAGCCTTCTGAGTTTTGGAGATTTGCATCCAAGGTGGGAGTCCACAGAAGACTGGAGACTAGAGTGGATTTGCTATGAAGTGTATGAAGTATAAGTTTCAGGGCCCCTTACTTGAATGCACCTACTAAATAAGTATATATGTCCATACCTAAGTTTTATTAATAATTTTATGTTTTAAGAAGGTAATTTAAGTTGTTTATATGTCAGTTTGCCAAAACCTGATCTGCCCCTTTTGGGGACATAGGCCTAAGTTCACAGAGACATTAGGTCCATGAGATGAACCTGCAAACATTCTTCACTCTGCAGACAGAGATGTTTTATCTGCCTACCCAAAAAGGAAGTTTCAGATGTATAGCCTGAGAGCCCTGGGGTGGAACCTCAGTAATGCCATCTACTCACTGAACTTGGATGGGCAGCTGCACTTCTTATGGCCTCGGTTTCTTTATCTGTACAATGAGGACAAAAGCAGCATCCTTAAATATTTAGTGAGATCACAGGCTAATGGGCCCAGTGCAGAGCTGGATGTGTAAGAGAATGAGTACATAGTGACTTAGCACCCGGCCTCTGGAAGCAGAACACCCCAGGTTCAAATCCTAACTTTGCCATGATCTTGCAGGTTAGCCAAGATCTCCAAGCCTTGGTCTCCTCAGATTTAAAATAGGGCTAATATTATAACTCTATCCTTGGGTTACTCTGAAGATTGAGATGATGCATGAAAATGATTAGATTTCTTGGGGCAGAGTGAGTGCTCATTAACGGCAACTACTATTGCTTTGCAAACACAGGTGATGGGTTTGGTCCAAATCACTAGGGAAGGTATCAGAGAGCAAAGGTTAAGGATAAAGGATCCCATGAACCTGAAGCTGAGTTAGGCCAACAGGCCACTCAGGGCCTGAACCCACACCTCCAGCTCCTTAGTGCTGAAGGAGCCACCCCCGGCAAAGCCAGTTTACCACAGACCACCAAGCCTGTCTTCCTTTGCAGAGACCTGGCAGCCACGTGCAGACACTCACCAGTTCTCTGTTCGCTCCTGTATCATTCTCTCTAATATCTCCCTGGGGGGCTGATTGATGGCGACAGGCAACAGTCTATAGCTATGTGACATAATGTTTACTACCAACCCTCTAGGAAATGATTACTTCGAGGTAATTTTGAACCTCCAGACTATGATACAGTGTCTCATATATTAAATTGCAGTGAGCAGTGTATAAAAGTATTACAAGGAGACCTTGTATTTCACAGCTTACCGGGAAAGGAGCATGCAGTGGCAAATTGGTTTCAGGGGAAGGCAAGCACAGAGGTTTCAATTTTTTTGTATTCATACTTAATGGAAGGAACCAAGAACTAAGCTTAAAGCCTACACAGCCAAGGGCAATGCCCACATTATACCCATGGACTGCTCCAAGGAGACCCTATGGCCAGTGCCACAGAGGCCCTAGATACTGTAATTCAAATTACTACAGCTTTAGGACCGTGCCACAGCCGCCTCTAGAAGCTGAATACATTTCTCTATGCTTCTCCCACAATCATCACCAAAAAATGGGTTCCTCAGGGCACCTCCTTCTTCACAAATCTCTCTTCCAAGTGAAAGTTTCCTTAAGGTTAGATATAGAGACCAGTGGAACAAAATATAGAGTCCGGAAGCAGACTCACACGTACATAATCATCTGATTTATAACAAAAGTATCACTGCAAGCAGAAGAGAGATGATGTTATTTTCAAATACTGGTGCTAGGTTAATTGGACATTCATGTGAGGAAAAGATTCATCCTGAACCCTACCTCACAGCATACACAAAAATCAATGCCAGATGGATTATGCATAAATGTGACAGGTAAAACAATAAAGCTTTTAGGCAAAAACATGAGAGAATATCCTCATGGCCTTGACGTTGGCAAAGGTATCTTAAATAGATGACAAAAGTTCTAACTAAAGGGAAATATCACATTGAACCGCAACTAAACTCTTAATAGTAATCAAAAGATATAATCTACTAGTGATGAAAAGACAACAAGTAGAATGAAGATGAATGTTTGCAAAATCAAAAAGGACTTTTATCCAAAGTATAAAAAGAACTCCTACAAATTAATAAGAAAGAGCCAGACAACCCAAGAGAAAAAATGGGCAAAAGACATAAATGGGAAGTCCACAAAAGTCAATATCCAACTGGCCAATTAATACATGAAAAGGCCAGGCACAGTGGCTCACGCCTGCAATTCCAACACTTTGGGAGGCCGAGGGGGGCGGATCACGAAGTCAGGAGGTCAAGACCATCCTGGCTAACACGGTGAAACCCTGTCTCTATTAAAAACGCAAAAAATTAGCCAGGCATGGTGGCGGCCACCTGTAGTCCCAGCTACTTGGGAGGCTGAGGCAGGAGAATAGCGTGAACCAAGGTGGAGCTTGCAGTGAGCAGAGATCGCGCCACTGCACTCTAGGCTGGGTGACAGAGCGAGACTCCATCTCAAAAAAAAAAAAAAAAGAAAAAAGAAAAGGTCTTTGGATATCAGGGAAATGCAAATTAAAACCACAATGCAATACCTATCACTACCATAATAGGCTAAAGTTAAAAAGATAGTTAACGCCAAGTGTTGGAGCAATTGGAATTCTCATATATTATTGGTGGCAGTATAAATTGCTATAAACAAAAGCCATCACATACATAACCTATGACTCAACAATTCTATTCATATATATATATATCTATATATGCCCCAAACAAATGCTTATGAGTTCACCAATAAACATGTAAAACAATATTCATACCAGCCCTACTTGTATTAGCTGAAAACTAGAAATAACCCAAATGTCCATCAACAGTTGAATAGAATAATAAACAGGTATGTTCACACAGTGGAATATGTACTACACTGAAATGAGAATGAATAAACCACATGCAACAATATGGATAAATCTTACAAAGTGTTGAGTAAGGCCCAGCGCGGTGGCTCACACCTATAATCCCAGCACTTGGGAGGCTGAGGTAGGAGGATCACTTGAGCCCAGGAGTTTGAGACTAGCCTGGGCAACATGGCAAAACCCTGTCTCTACAGAAAATACAAAAATTAGCTGGACATGATGGCACATGCCTGTAGTCCAAGCTACTCAGGAGGCCGAGGTGTGAGGATCACTTCAGCCCAGGAGCTCAAGGCTGCAGTGAGCCAAGATTGCGCCACTGTACTCCAGCCTGGGCAACAAAATGAGACCTTGTCTCAAAAACAAACAAACAAACAAAAATCCCAACAACAACCTAAATGGTGATTGAAAAAGCCAGATGCAAAATGATACATACTAACACATGCTGTTTAATCCTATCTATATAAAGTTCAAAAATTTGGTGCATATACACCATGGAATACTATGCAGCCATAAAAAGGAATGAGATCCTGTCCTTTGCAGGGACATGGAGGAAGCTGGAAGCCACCATCCTCAGCAAACTAACACAGGAACAGAAAACCAAATACTGCATGTTCTCACTCATAAGTGGGAGCTGAACAATGAGAACACATGGACACAGAGAGGGGAACAACACACACTGGGGCCTATTGGGGGTGGGGGGTGAAGGGAGGGAACTTAGAGGATGGGTCATTTGGTGCAGCAAACCACCATGGCACACATATGCCTGTGTAGCAGACCTGCACGTTGTGCACATGTATCCCGTTTTTGTTTTTGTTTTTGTTTTTAAAAAAATGAAAAAAAAATTAGCAAAACTAGCCTGTGCTTCAAAAGTCAAGATAGTAGATACTTACATGGAATAAGGACCAGAAAGGGGTTTAGTGAGGTCTTCTGGGAAGCCGGTAGTGTTCTCTTTTTGTGTTTTAGCCATTGGTTACCGGAATATATTCACTTTGTAAATATGTAATAAGCAATATATTAATGCTTTATGTGATTTTCTGCATATCTGTTTTTTTTTTTTTTTTTTTTGAGATGGAGTCTTGCTCTGTCGCCCAGGCTGGAGTGCAGTGGCACAATCTCTGCTCCCTGCAAGCTCCACCTCCCAGGTTCACGCCATTCTCCTGCCTCAGTCTCCCGAGTAGCTGGGACAACAGGCACCTGCCACCACGCCTGGCTAATTTTTTGTCTTTTTAGTAGAGACAGGGTTTCACCATGTTAGCCAGGATGGACTCGATCTCCTGACCTCGTGATCCTCTCGCCTCGGCCTCCCAAAGTGCTGAGATTACAGGCGTGAGCCACCGCGCCCGGCCATCTGTTATTCTTTAAAAAGACTTTAAAAAAAAAAAATCAGGTCATCTGAATTGGGTCCCAGGGTTGCACCACAAGATTGAAAAGGAGATGGCAAAGTGAGTTTCTGGCTTTTTTCCTTGGGAAGGTAGGACTCTTAACAAGGGAAAATACCTACACATAGGGAGAACATTATAATGTTGCTGGCTGGTCAAAAAGCATAAGAAATGTGAACTGGAGCAGATGGAAGGAGTAGGGTAGAAAAGCTTTCATTGTTAAGCATCAGCCCTATACTAAGTGCACATATCTCTTCATTCAAGCCACATCTCCATCCGTGAGGCAAATACCATCCCATCCCATGTCACTGCTAAGAAAACTGAGGCACAGGAAGAGGCAAGAACCCACACCCAGGTCTCAATGGCTCCAAACCCATGTTCCCAACATCTGTAGGTAGCCCATAACATGTGGTAGCTGCTTGCTGTATGGGAGGAGCGGTCATGCCAGGGGTCTATGTCTCTGTGACCTCCCAGTAGAAATGCAAGGACCGCAGCAGGCAAGGGAAGGCTCTGCTTCCCAGCAGGCTTGGACGCACTGCCCTCCTGCTCGACATTGTCTCTGCTTTTAACTGATGTGACCCACTCCACAACAAGGAAAATGTTTACAATCCTAACAAGGCAAACAGTTAATTAAGAGAGCAGTACCTTCAGGGGATTTTAATTTAGGGCAGGCACCAACTGGGATAAAGAAGACATTCATACCATTGGAATTGTGCAGTTTCCACACCCAATTGACTACGACATGGAATTTAGTAAAGGTGATTTCCACTTTCAAATTATGACTTCCAGATGCCTATAAATAAGGCCTTTGCTGTCTCAGAAGGCTTTGGAGTTTGTACTTGAAGTCCTAATACCTTAGAAAAGGGAGGATATTTAAGGCAATGAAAGGGAGTGATGAAGAGTTAAGCTGCCCTGGTTCAAATTTCGGCTTTGCCACTTAATAAACTGTGATGAATTACTCAACCTCTCTGAGCCTCAGTTCCTCATCTATAAAATAAGAATAGTATGTGCAGCGAATAGGGTTTTCAAGATTATTAGATTAAAATATGTACATATATATGCATATGCATATACACTCATTACATATATACTCAAATATATACACATCTCATTTGGCATGGTCCTGGGCATATAACAAGTGCTCAGTTTTATCAGCTATGAATATTCTGCTTATAGCTCACTGTACTGATTTTGGCTTTGGGAAACTGATCTAGATGTTGTAAAAACTTTGACTTCAGAGAAATTATCTAAATTATTCAAGGTCACACAGCTAGAAGGTTTGGTACTTGGCCAAGGTGAGGTTGGGTCCCAGCTATATCTGACTTTTGAGTCTCTCCTTTTTCACTGCACTCTATTCCAGATTTGTCTGAATTCAGATCTCCCAGAACCAGGCCCAGCTGCTCAGATCAGAGTAATTTGCGTCGAGGGCCAGCCAGGCACAGAGCAAGAGCCCCTGCTTTGACGAAGCAGATCACTTTCGTATCGTTGGCGCTCTGGTCCTATGGAGCTTTCCACTCTGGCTGCTGTTCGTGGCCGAGGATGACATGGATTGTGGATTTCATAGCATCTAGAGGAGCCACTAAGGGTTGAGGCATAGGAAGAGGTAGGAAGAGGTCAGAAACATCAGGCCTTCTAACAACAGCTGCAGCAACTCCCCTTGGTGCAATCGTTCCCTTCTCACACCCCCAGTGAGTAATGAGGCACCCAGAAGACACAAGGTCAAGGTGTTCTAATGCTGGAATCCAAGCTAAATAAGCCTGGTCTCTAATGCCAACTTCCAGCTACTTGAGAGGCATTCCTTCTCATTCCAGCCCTGGCTTCTCTGAATGATTCGATTCTAGCCATGTGGCTTGGGACTGAGACATGGATGCAAGTTCATATACACACCTAAAGAAGTCAAACAAACATGAGCCTTTATTCTAATCCCCCTCAAGCTGACCTTGAGCAAATGTCTTAACTTCTCTGAGTCTCAGTTTCTCCCTGTAAAAGGAAATAATAATGGTACCTACTCCATAGGATGTCATAAGGATAAATGTAATAATACAGGAAAAACACATAAAACATGCACTGAGCACTTAATAAATGACAGTTAACATTTTTTCCAGCACCATCCCCGAAGGCAATTGGAATGTGTCCAATCCCCAGGTGAAACCAGGTGGAGGTGGGATGAGAGTGGTACAGTAGCCTTCAAGTCCATTCATGTCATTCTGCCTGGATAAAACATTTCCTGGCTTTCTATCACACCTACTGTAGTCATGAGGCCCTGTACATCTGGTCCTGCATATTTCTCTGAAGTCATCCCCGGACACTCTCTCCTACAGTCACTCTGCTCCAGCCACACTGGCCTCCATGGTCTTTCCCACCTCAAGGCTTGGAACATGTTTTCCCTGCCTGGAACCCTCTTCCTACTGTGTTGCTCTGCTAACTCCTACCTGTTCTTCATTTACAAGAATGTTCCCTAATTTGAGAATCAGAGAGATTCTTATCCTCAGATTCATTCCTTTGTGGGTTATCAAGGGTTGTAATCATTTGTTGCCTTGTTTGTTGTCTCCCCCTATAGACTGTTAACCCATCGGGGCAGGCCATGCCTGTAATGCTTATCATTATACCCTCAAAGCCTAGCACAGTGCCTGCAACCTAGTAGAGAACTCAGTAAGTGTGAGGATGGATGGATAAATGGATGGATGGGTAGATGGATGAGTGGATGGATGGGTGGATGGAAGGAGAATGATAGAAGACAGCTAGCTCTTGGCAGTCAAGGAAGAATCACATTTTGGATACACACAGTGAGGTGCTCAATAAATTTAAAAATAGACAGATACATGGATGGATGGATGGATCAACCACAACACAATGTAACATAATAGTTAAATGCACAGGCTTTGGAGGTGACTGTTTTCAGTTTAAAACCCATCTCTGCCATTTGCTAGCTGTGTGACTACAGATAAGTCACTTAACCTCTCTGGGCCTCAGATTCTTTGCATTTGGTGAAAGTTTTCATTGTAGGACTGTAGGCAGAGAACACCTCCCCCATGACTCTTTAATTCATATTTGTTAAAGGCAGAAACTGTCCAAGCCTCAGTTTCTACATCTGTGAAATGGGAATTATACCACCTACCTCTCAGAATTGCTGTGAGTACTAGATGAGATTCTGCAGGTACACCTTTGCTTTGTGAATGATGAATTGTGTAACTAACATAGGATGTTTTCTGTAGTCATGCAGCAAGGTCGTCCCAGCAATGCCCTTGGCAAAGCACAGAGTCATTCAGAATTTTCCCCTCTAAACCTTAATTCTCGGTCAACTGTGCCTCTTCCTATTCCCTCCTCTGCCACCTCCTGACACCACTGCCTCCTCCACCCAGTAAAGACAATCACAGAGCAATTAGTCCTCAAAGAGGAAGAAGAAGAAGAAGAAGAAGAAGAAGGAGAAGGAGAAGGAGAAGGAGAAGGAGAAGGAGAAGGAGAAGGAGAAGGAGGAAGAAGAAGAAGAAGAAGAAGAAGAAGAAGAAGAAGAAGAAGAAGAAGAAGAAGAAGAAGAAGAAGAAGAAGAAGAAGAAGAAGAAGGGGAAGAAGGGGAAGAAGGGGAAGAAGGGGAAGGGGAAGAAGGAGAAGAAGGAGAAGAATGAGAAGAAGAAAGAAGAAGGAAGAAGAAGGAAGAAGAAGGAAGAAGAGGAAGAAGAGGAAGAAGAGGAAGAAGAAGAAGAAGAGGAAGAAGAAGAGGAAGAAGAAGAAAGAAGAAGAAGAAGAAGAAGAAGAAGAAGAAGAAGAAGAAGAAGAAGAAGAAGAAGAAGTTGTTGTTGTTATTGGGCCAGAGAAATGCTCCAAGAATTCACTACAAAATGTGGTCTTGTTCTTTGGCACAACCCACTAGGCAGCTGAAAACAAACACTGCTTCTTCCCCTGGTGTTGGAAAACCATACATTGTATTTCAAGGCCTCCTGGAGAGTGTTGAAATATTATTTTTCTCAGGGGAAATGAAATTTGGCCTCATACGCTGCAGTTGGTCCCAGAGCTTCCAAAACAGAGGTGAACCTCCATCTTGATAGCATGGTGTCAACATCATGGATCACAGTCTGACCCAAGAGATTCATTTTCTCTTTATTCACCTAGAATTTTTACATATACAAACAGAGACCCTGATTGGCCCAGTTTGCTACCATTCAGTATGGTACAGTCTGCTTGGGCAAAGCTGCTGGCCAAGTCACCCCGTAGACCATGGCTCCCTGAGGAGCTCTCCATGGTGCCTTTGTCTGACCCTATCAGCTGTCGCCGGGGCCTCAGATCAGGCTTCCCTCCCTGCACTTGGGCACCTTCCACATCACCTTGTGTGGAGTGCTAGGGCATGCCCATTACCTGAAGCATCCTGGGCTCCTCGCATAGCCTATCCATTGTCCACATTTCTCCAGGCTCAAGATTCCAGGGCACTTTGGGGCCCTCGACATATTCCAGGGACACTGCTGTCTGGCAAGATCTAATGAGGCTTCTCCCTTTGGTTGCAAAAACTTCAGGCTCCTGGCAGACAAGAGTGCCAATTTCGGGCCTGCATTTTGGCAGCCTCATGTGCCAAATGAAGCAAGGAACTTTAACAGATGCAGAATGACCTGTCCTATCCCTGGAGGGCTTGAGGGAGGCCACTCTTGCCATCCCTAACATCTTTAAACATGCCCCAAAATAAGACAACAAGAGAGTTAGGTCAGGGAGCAAAGAGATTATCAAGCCACCCTCTTCCCCACACTACAGATAGGAAAACTGAGGTCAGAGAGAGGAAGTCATTGACCCAAGATTACCCACCCAGGAAGTGACAAGTTAAAAACTTTCCAATTCCAAAGCCCAGTTTCTTCCTCTGAGTCAAGCTACCAGGTCTCTCAAGAGTTTGGCTGACTGCTGTTTCTCTGGCCAGTTTACCCCACCTGTCTTCTCCGTTGCCACCACCCTGAGGAGTCTCACCATCAGCCTTCTGCCCATTTTCCACTGGTTGTCTTCACCCATCCTCCACCCTCATATTCAACAATCCTTCTGCTGTTCTTTCATACTGCTCACTTAAAAATATTTATATACTGAGAAGTAAACAATGGGAAATTTTATTCTCTGAGCTGAACCAGCCAAGCACTCCCAGCTCTGTGGAAGACACAAGATGTGCTCTGCACATCTCGCCAGCTCTGCCCATTTCACTTTCTCTGTGCCTTGCTCCAGAGATATCAGCTCAGTCCAGAAGTGCAGTAGCTCATCATCTGAGACTTGGAGAGTCTGCTCGGAAATGATGCTGTCCTCACTCCCTTAATGGGCCCTTTCCTCCCTCCTGAGACTGCAGGTGAACAGCTGCTGTCTGAAGAAGATAAAAGAACAGGGGAGAGCCAGAAAGTTACTATATCCCTCTCTCACTGAGTTTCACTGACTTTAGAGAGAAAGGATAGCATTTTGGTTCAGTTCACTAGCTTTGGGTTTAAAGCCCATCTCTGTCGCATGCTAGCTGTGTGACTTCAGGAAAGTCACTTAACATTTCTGATCCTCTGCTTCTTTATTGAAAAATAGGGTAATATAGTATCTACTTCCTAGGATTTTTGTGAAGATTAAATTAAGTAATGTAAATAAAGTATCTGGAAGAGTGCCTGGCATACGCAATTGTTTTATAGATGTTTAGTAGTACTCTATATGACAAGAAGGCAGTTCCTCAGTTGTGGGCAGAGCCCTGCAATAATCTCCATCTACTCAGGTGTGGGTAAGGACACATCTGAAAATATTCACAATCACCCCTTCCTTGATGCACAAAGGAATTCGGTGTGTGTGCATTTACCAAGCACCACCATGTGCTGGGAACTGTCCAAGCTGTGTTCACCTGTATTTCCTCATTTAATCCTTAAAACAGGGCTGGAATACATTTCTTTACCCTCACTTTACAAATGAGGAAACTGAGGCCCTGGGACGTTAAATAAGCTGACCAAGATCATGTGTGTAGGAAGCGGTCTGAAATTTGAACCTGTCTGTTTGAATCCAGAGCTGCCACTGTCAACCAATACACTCTCTTGCCTAGTGTGAACCAAAGTGTCTGCCAACCCCAGAGGAAGCTGAAGAGAAGGAAGCTTTATGTCCCTTCCACATGCTGAGAGATAAGCCCCCAAAATACATGCCATTGCACCCCCAGAATCCTTGAGAAAACCTCTCTCAAACCAAAATATTCACCAGATCCTGACCAAACTTGTGGGTTTCAAGCGGTAGCCAGCACCAAGTAATACTACTGCAAGAGACTTAAACAGCTATCGAAGGCTGCACTGCTTCATTCATTCAGTGAATGGGTGGGTGAGCAACAGGAGCCATCTAGGGGTATCAGAGACAGGACAGTGACAAAGCAGTAACCCTGAGGTCAGATTATGAAGCCTATTTTATAAATCAAGAGAATGAATTTCCCAATAAAGAGATGACTTGACAAAGGACACGCAGCCGATGAAGGGGCAGCGGGACTTCACGCCTGGTCTGTCTCCTTCGAGATCCCATCCTTACGACTCTGCTAGGCCCTCCTCTCCCTTACCACGCCCTCCTTGCCCCTCAGCCCCTCTTTAGCCCTGCTTCTGAGTCCCCTGGCCCTTCTCCTCCAGTCTGCATCCCGACACCACCCACAGGGACTGCCCAACCTCCTTCTGCTGACTGCTGCCCTCAGACAAGGAAACTCAAGGACATTCCCAGGCAAGGTCGCAGATGCCAGCAGGCCTGAATGAGAATCCTGGTTCTGTTACCAGTTGAGTGGCCTCTGGCAAGAGACTTAGCCTCTCCGTGCCTTAGTTTCCTGAGAACAATAATAATATCTACTTCACAGGGTTGTTCTGAGGGTAAATTATTAATACATATCAAGCACTTAGAATAGTGCCTGGCATGCACTAAGGGCTATATGCAATTTTGTCAATAATAATGATAAAAATAATAATAATGATAGACCAGGAACAAGAAGCTGAGGACGGTCATTCTCTTAACAAATGTTTGGATGCCCATGTTGTGCTGGACCTTGGCTGGGCTTTGAATACTTAGCAGGACATGAAACAGACAAGGTCATTCTGGGGCCCTTGTTCTAGGTATGACACATCAATCCCCTATCAAATGTCTCACGACATCACTGCTGTTAACAGACTGCAAAGGTGTCCACTCTGATTCCACCACCCTCCCAGGCCGTAGCTACAGATTCTAGACTTGGCCTGAACAGACAGACTGCGTGTTCAAGCTGCATGATGCACACCTGGGTGTTTAGCATGCAAGTCTGCCCACTTTTGCATATATCCAGATATTTCTATAATAAAAAGTTGACATAATTGAGGCAAACTACATCACAATGATTGTTTAAAATGCTTAATAAGACCATTGTCGGCCGGGTGTGGTTTATATGCTGGATTACATGCCTGTAATCCCAGCCCTTTTGGAGGCCGAGGTGGGCGGATCACTAGGTCAGGAGATCAAAACCATCCTGGCTAACATGGTGAAACCCCGTCTCTACTAAATAAATACAAAAAATTAGCTGTGTATGGTGGCGGGCGCCTGTAGTCCCAGCTACTTGGGAGGCTGAGGCAAGAGAATGATGTGAACCCGGGAGGCGGAGCTTGCAGAGAGCCGAGATGCTCCACTGCACTCCAGCCTGGGTGACAGAGTGAGACTCCATCAAAAAAAACAAAACAAAACAAAACAAAAACCATTGACTCTAAGAAACAAGAGACAATGTCTAGTTCTATTTTGTCCTTTTAAAGTTATATTTCTTTGCATGTTACTATCTTAGTTTTCAAGTTCAATGGAGCCTGAGGCAAGGATTTGGATGCATGGGGCTTACCGAAGGCATGCACTCAGGAAAACCCTATGGGAGAATAAGGGAAGCAGGATGGAGTTAAGGGAAAAAGCTAAGCAAAGGTGCGGCCTCCTCAGCTGGGATCTAGCCCAGAGCAAAAAGCATTCAGGGAAGAAATTCGAAGGCAGCAGAAGGGGATGAAATGGTTCTCAAAAAGTTCAGTGTGAACATGAAAAATACAGTAAAAATAGAAGTAAACAGAGTCAAATTGACATGATTAAAATATAAGAGACACAGAAGAAAATTTGAGAAAAACAAAACAAACTAAAGTGAAAAAGAATAAAAGAAAAATAACAGATATGGAAGACAAATAATAAAATCCAACATACAAAATATTACTATTCCAAAAAAGATAAGTAAAGTAATGGTATAAAACAAATAGTTACACCTATAGTTTGAAGATCTTTTTTCAAATAAAGAACATATGAAACTAACAAATGGGTCCCATCTGTCCCTCACACCTGTGGACATAGCAGGAGTGTTACTGCTCACTGCTCACAGCTGTCCTCCTATCCAAAGAATTTCCCGTGGCTAAGGAGAATGGACTCACTTGGAAATTGACACCCCTCACCAGCCTAAGGTCAGGTGGCTGACACAGGTACACAAAAAGTCAACTTGACTCCTTGCAGTGCAATTTACCCTCCAGAGCTCCCCCTGGGTTCAGGCTGAAGCTAGACTCCAGCTGAGGCCACACCTTTGCTTAGCTATTTCCCTGTACCTCATCCTGCTTTTTTTTTTTGAGACAGGGTCTCGCTCTGTGGCCCAGGCTGCAGTGCAGTGGCACAGTCTTGATCTTGACTCACTGCAACCTCCGCCTTCCCGGCTCAAGTGATCCTCCCACCTCAGCTTCCTGAGTAGTTGGGACTACAAGCATGCACCACCATGCCTGGCTAATTTTTGTATTTCTTTGTAGAGACAGGGTCTCACTATGTTGCCCAGGCTCATTTCAGACCCTTGGGCTCAAGCGATCCACCCCCCTTGGCCTCCCAAATTGCTGGGATTACAGGCATGAGACTCCATCCCACTTCTCTTATTCTCTCATAGGTTTCTCCTGAGCTCACTCTTGCAGTAAGCCCCATGCATCCAAATCTCTGCCTCAGACTCTATTGAATGTAAACTAAGCATAGAAATATAATGAAATATGTAAAACATGTACAGAAATATAATTTCTAAAGGATAAAGTAGAAAATAAACCGAAAAAGAAATTTCAATACCTTCTTCTCATACTCAAGGGGATCATTCTTCATTGCCCCCAGTTTGTGGGTCCCTTATTTTGGAGGTCACTGCTCTAGGTAACCAGAACCATGCAGAGTTTGAAGCAGGAAAGAGGCTGGTCTGATCTGTCTGTGGTTGACAAAGATGGTTCTGGTTGCCCAGTAGGGAATGGAATGAGACGAGGGGATGGGGGCCCAGGCTAGAAGCAGGCAGAGAAGTGAGACGGGATCCAAGCCAGAGCTGGAGGCAGCCTAGACTAAGTTGGGGGTGGACAGGGATGAAGAGATATGGCTGAAGAGGAAAGATTTAGGAGAAGGGATCCCCAGCACATGGCAGTTGAGTGGCTATCAACAAAGAGGGAGAGGGAAGAGCAGGGGAGGGACAATCCCTGGTATCTTGTATGAGCAGTGGGTTGACTGTGCTATGTTCACAGAGATAGGGACCTCAAGCAGGAGCAGGTGGGTGGAGGAAGAAGATGAGTTTCACTTTGGACACCCATCCTTCTCCACCACCAAGCCAAGTTATCTTTCCTTGCAAAGAACTAGAGAAGCACCATATGCACTCGACATAGTGGGGGTGAATACTCAGACACAAACCACAAATCACATTCAAGAAAGCTTTAAGACAGTATTCAGTTTACTTTGTTAGCCATTTGTTGAGCACTTGTTGTGTACAAAACTCTTTGCAAGGCCTGAGACAAACACAAGGATAAATCCACCATGAGGTCTGCCCTCTGGAAGCCTACAGTCCCATGGAAAAGACAAATATACTCTCAAAGGCTTCGTTAGACCTCACAAAGAATTCTGTTGACTTTGGAGCCAAAATTAATAGGACTCCACTCTTGGCTCTTCAATTAAACTGTTAGCTTACCTTCGGTATACTACTTAATCCCTTTGATCCTCAGTTTCCCTATCTGTAAAATAAGGATGAAAATAGTAGTACCTCTTCCATGAGACTGTTGTAAAGATTAAATAATAGTAATAACAATTAACATTTATTAGAGTCTCAAAAGCTCCAGAACCTGGAATATAGTAGGTACTCAATAAATATTTGTTGAGTGGATTAACTGAACACTTACTATGTGCTAGACGCTGGGAAGGTTGGTACTTAATAAATGGCATCGTTCTTGTTTTCATTATTCTTGTTGTTTTTATTATTTAATCTCAGCAACTCTATAAGCTGGATATCATTGCTCTCTCCCTTTTCAGGTGAGAAAACTGAGACTTGGGGACTTTAAGTTCACTATTCAAGGTCACACTGTTAGTACATTATAGAGCAAGATCCAAACCCAGGTAGTCTAAGTCCCTAAGTCTAAGGCCTGAACTGTTAGCCCATTTTATGTATGTAAACCACAGAGCCCAGTTCAGAGCCTGCAGTCTGTGCACCTTCAATTTCAGAAGCTCCCAGAGTCAAGCTTGGGCATCTGAACTCTTTCCTTTGGATGACAGGGAGCCCCTGGAAGGTATTGATCCGAGGCCTGATCTGAGCAGATGTAGGCTTTAGGGAGATAATTTTGGCTCCCATGCACAGCTAGGACTGGGGTGAAGCTAGCGAGGCACTGGCCTCAGGCACAAAATTTAAAGGGAAGCCAAAAAAAAAAAAAAAAAAAGAGAGAAAGAAAAGTACGTCATCAAAATAAATGAAGACCAGATCAGAATTGCTGACTTTTCCTTTTGCCTTAGGCTCCAATATGGTTCATCAAAGCACTATTACTAATCCTGTCCTTATTTAGAATTTTGATATTTTTCTCCCCATAGATTTTTTGCAGTAATTTAAAACATTATTACATTAAAATGTAATTTTTCTCAATTATTGAGGTTTGGGGGTGCCCCTTCACATTGTGCCTGAAGCAAGTGCCTCACTTGCCACCCTGCTCCAGTTCAGGTCCTTCTCCCATGACTTTTCTTTTTCTTTTTTTTTTTTTTTTTGGAGACAGAGTCTCGCTCTGTCGCTCAGGGTGGAGTGCAGTGGCGCGATCTCGGCTCACTGCAGCCTCCGCCTCCCGGGTTCAAGCAATTATCCTGCCTCAGCCTCCCAAGTAGCTGAGACTACAGACGCACGCTGCCATGCCCAGCTAATTCTTTCTATTTCAGTAGAGATGGGGTTTCACCGTGTTGCCCAGGCTGGTCTTGAATTCCTGAGCTCAGGCAATCTGCCCGCCTTGGCCTCCCAAAATGCTAGGATTACGGGTGTGAGCTACCGCGCCCGGCCTCCCATGACTTTTTTATTCACATTTGCTCAAGGCAGAAACTGTCCAAGCATCAGTTTCTACATCTGTGAAATGGGAATCATACCACCTACCTCTCAGAATTGCTGTTAGTACTAGACGAGATTCTGCAGGTATAGCCTTGCTTTGTGAATGATGAATTGTGTAACTAACATAGGATGTTTTCTGTAGTGATGCAGCAAGGTCGTCCCAGCAATGCCCTTGGCAGAGCACGAAGTCATTCAGAATTTTCCCCTTTAAACCTTAATTCTTGGTCACAGTGTGCCTCTTCCTATTCCCTCCTCTACCACCTTCCGACCCCACTGCCTTCTCCACCCAGTAAAGACAATCATAGAGTGCTTATTCCTTTAAAAATAAAATAGTTATGGGTCAGAAAAATCCTCCAAGAATTCACTACAAAACACGGTCTTGTTCCTTGGCAAAATCCATTCTGAACTAGGCAGTTGAAAACAAACACTGCTTCTTCCCCTGGTTTCGAAAAACCATACATTGTGTTTCCAGGCCTCCCGGAGAGTGTTGAAATATTCTTTTTCTCAGGGGAAATGAAATTCGGCCTCATACACTGCAGTTGGAGCTGTTTCCAACCTCACAATCAGGACATTTGCTATTCTGATTGTATAAGCCTGAGTCAGGTACACATGCTGAGACTTCTGAATATATTCGCAAGGAAATCAGCATAATACACAGTTAATATTCAGAATGTGATTAATCCAAAAGCCCCATTCCATATTCCAATTACATCCACCGCTCCCCTATGTGGGCTGAGTTTTGCTTAAATGCATATGGAGTCAATTGGAGCGCCAGATTTATGGAGGCTGCTGAAAGCCTGGCGCTCCAACGGTAATACGTTATATTCCTATTATGTGGTAGGCAATAACAAATCTGATATTTATTCTGCTGGATTTTGAGAAACTCTTGGAAAGAATCTAGGCTGCTGGAACACTGTGACATGTTTCACAAACAAATGTCTCCTCTGTGATTTGACTGTTCAGAGGAGCTGAGGCCGTCTTAGAAACGCAGTGCCTGCGTTCTTGAGGAGGTCAACAAGCCTCCCCATCACTGCTAATAGTTTCTCACAATATAGATACCTGATTCTGTCCTCCTGGAAAAACCACAGGCTGTGTGAGCTTAGGCAAGACGTGCAGACATGTCTCTGAGACTCCTTTTCTCCATTTGCAAAATGGGAATAGCAATAACAACCTCAAAGTTTTGTTCAAAGAATTAAATAAAATAATAAGCAACGCACATGCATAGACCAGTGCCTGGCACACAGTAAGCACCTAATAGATGATTTTAAAAGAAGAAATGGAATTTACCAATGAATAAGTGGATCAAAGATAAGGTTTTCAACTCATGAGAGCACTTACTGGAACAGTGTGTCTTCAAAGTGTGGTAACCACACCACTGGGGGTGTAGAGAATTATTTTTGATGGCACATGAACCATGATTTTATTTTTAAAATTACGTACTTATTTTAATGTGTGGAAATAACAAACACATCAATCCCATGATTTCATGATTATTATTGCTTAGGATATGGCTAAACAGGATTGACTATTAGAACAAATCTTAAATTGAAAATTAAAGGGGCATAAGTCAAAATACAACAAAAATCTTGAAGATAATGTTAAAATAACTAGGGTTTGGGAAGCGCCATTCTGGGAGGAGAAAAACGGTAACATAAAAACTGGGGGGTTACCAAAGCCCTTTTTAAATATTTTTAAAATCAGAAACCATGAAGGGCAAGATTGAGTCACGCAGGAATCCCAGGGCTATTCAGAATTCCCCTGATGGCACCCACTGCCCATTCCCTCCATCCCCCATCTACAGGAAAGCACATCTGAAAACAAGGCATTGAAAGCAGTATCATTACAATGATAACTTTAATGTTCTCAAGCGTATTTATTTTTAAATACTTTTAATTGATACATAATAGATGGACAATTTTTGGCACACGTGTAATAATTTTACACATTCATAAAATTTGTAAAGATGACATACCCATCACCTTAAATATTTCTTTTCTTTATGCTAGAAACATTCCAACTATTCTCTTCTAGCTATTTTGAAATGTACAGTAGATTGTTGCAAACTATAGTCACCCTACTGATGTGTCAAACACTAGGTCTTATTTCTTCTATCAAACCATATATTTGTACCTATTCATCCCTCTGACTCCCTACCCTTCCCAGCCTCTGATAACCACTAATCCACTCTCTATCTTCATGAGAACCACTTTTTTAGTTACCACATATGAGTAAGAACATGTGATATTTGTCTGTCTGTGCTTGGCTTATTTCATTTAACATAATGGCCTCCAGTTCCATCCATACTGCTGCAAAAGAAAGATTTCATTCTTATTATGTCTGAATAGTATTCCATTGTGTGCATATGCCACATTTTCTCTATTCATTCATCCACTGATAAGCACTTAGATTGATTTTGAATAGTGCTCCAATAAATATGGGAATGGAGATACTCTTTAATATATTGATTTCCTTTCTTTTGGATATATATCCAATAGTGGCATTGCTGGATCATATGATAGTTGTATTTTTAATTTTTTGAGAAACCTCCATACTGGTTTCCATAGTGGCTATACTAATTTACATTCCCAACAACAGTGTTTGAGGGTTCTCCTTTCTCCACGTCCTCACCAGCATCTGTTATTGCCTGTCTTTTTGATAAAAGCCATTTTAACTGGGGTGAGATAATATCACATTGTGGCTTTGATTTGCATTTCTCTGATGATTAGCAGTGTTGACATTTTTTTCATATACCTATTGGCCATTTGCACGTCTTCTTTTGAGAAATGTTTATTCATATCTCTTGCCCATTTTTTAATCAGGTTATTTGTCTTTTCAATCAAAATTGCTTGTTTTTTGCTATTGATTTGCTTGAGCTCCTTATAAATTCTGATTATTAATCCTTTGTCAGATAAATAATTTGCAAATATTTTCTTCCATTCTGTGGGTCATCTCTTCACTTTGTTGAATGTTTTCTTGGCTGTGCAGAAACTTTTTAGCTTGATATAATCCCATTTGTCCATTTGTGCTTTGGTTGCCTATGCTTTTGAGGTCTTTCACAAAAGATCTTTGCCCAGAGCAACATCCTGGAGCATTTCCCCAATGTTTTCTCCTATTAGTTTCATAGTTTTAGGTCTTAAGTTTAAGTCTTTAATCCATTGTGATTTGATTTCTTATACTGTGAGAGAAAAGCATCAAGTTTCATTCTTCTGAAATGGGGTATCTTGTTTTCCAGCATCACTTATTAAAAAGACTTTCTTTCCCCCATTGTATGTTATTGGAGCCTTTGTCAAAAATGAGTTGACTATAAATGTGTGGATTTACATATGGGTTCTCTATTCTGTTCCATTGGCCTATGTGTCTGTTATTATGCCAGTATCATGCTGATTTGGTTCCTATAGCTTTGTAGCATATTTTAAAGTAAGATAGTATAGTGTCACCAGCTTTATTCTTTTTCTCAGGTTTGCTTTGCCTAGTCAGAGTCTTTTGTGATTCCACATACATTTTAGGATTGTTTTTTCTATTTCTGTGAAGAATGTCATTGATATTTCTGTAGTACTGCATTGAATCTGTAAATTGCTTTGGGTAGTATTGTCATTATAACAATATTAATTCTTCCAATCTATGAGCATGAGATATATGTTCATGGATTGGAAGAATTAATATTGTTAAAATGACAGTTTCATCTTTTGTGTGTCCTCTCCAAATTCTTTCCTCAGTGTTAGATAGTTTCTCTTCTGTAGATCTTTATCTTTTTTGGTTAAATTGATGCCCAGGTATTTTGTATTCTTTGTAGCTATTGTAAATGGGATTGCTTTCTTGATTTCTTCTTCAGACTGCTTGCTGTTGGTATATATAAATACTACTGATTTTTGTATGCTAATTTTGTATCCTGTAACTTTCCTGAATTCATTTATCAGTTCTAAGAAATTTTTGTTGGACCATTTGGGTTTTTCTCTTTTCAATTTGAATGGCTTTTATTTCTTTCTCTTGCCTAAGTGCTCTGCCCAGCACTTCCAGTATTATGTTGAATAGCATGGTGAAAGTGGGCATCCTTGTCTTGTTCCAGGTCTTAGGGGAAAGACTTTCAATTGTTCCCAATTTAATACAATGTTAGCTATGGGTTTTCATATATGTCTTTTCTTATTTTTAGGTATGTTTCTCTATACCCAGTTTGTTGAAAATTTTCTCATAAAGGGATGTTGAATTTTATCAAATATGTTTTCAGCATCTACTGAAATAATTATATTGCTTTTATTTTTGGTTCTGTTAATATGATGTGTCATATTATTGACTTGCATAATTGAACCATTCTTGCACCCCTGGGATGAATCCCACTTGATCATGGTGAATGTTCTTTTTAATGTGTTATTAAATTCGATTTGCTAGTATTTTGTTGAGGATTGTTGCATCTACGCTCATCAGTAATATCGGTCTATAGTTTTCTTTTTTCATTATGTTCTTGTCTGGTTTGGATATCAGAGTAATGCTGGCCTCGTAGAATTAGTTCAGATGTGTTCCTTCCTATTCACTTTTTTTTAAGAATTTGAGTAGAACTGACATGAATTCTTGTTCAAAAGTTTGGCAAAATTCTGTGGTGAAGCCATCAGGTCTCAGAGTTTTCTTTGATGGAGACATTTTATCATAGCTTCAATCTTGTTACTCATTACTAGTTTGTTGAGATTTTCTATTTCCTCATGATTCAATCTTGGTAGATTAATATCTACCGAGGATATTAATTCAGAAATTTATCAATTTCTTTTTAGTCTCCCAATTTGTTGTTGTATAGTTGTTCATAATAGGCTTTAATGATTCTTTTTATTTCTATGTTCTCAGTTGTCATGTATCTTTTTTCATTCCTCTTTTTAGTTATTTGAGTCTTCTTTCTTTTTTCTTGGTTAGTTCAGTTAATGGTTTGTTGATTTTATCTTTTCAAAAACCCAACTTTTTGTTTTGTTGCTCTTCTGTATCTTCAGTATTTTTTAAAAAATCTCAGTTTCACTTATTTTTTCTCTGATCTTAATTATTTCTTTTATTGTTTGAATTTGGGGTTTGGTTTGTTCTTGCTTTTCCTAGGTTCTTGAGGTACATCCTTAGGCTGTTGATTTGAAGCCTTCCTACTTTTTGCCCTGTGAGTTTATTGCTATAAACCTCCCTCTAAGTACTGTTTTTGCTGTATCTCATAGATTTTGGTATGTTGTATTTCCATTTTCATTTGTTTCAAAATTTTTTAAATTTCTTTCTTAATTTCTTCATTGACCCATTTGTTGTTCAGGAGATATTGTTTAATTTCCATGTGTTTGTGAAGTTTCTGAGGTTCCTCTTTTTATTCATTTCTAGTTTTATTCCACTGTGGTCGGAAAAAATAGTTGATTTTATTTCCACTATTTGGATTTGTTGAGATTTATTTTGTGGTCTAATAAATGGTCTGCTCTGGAAAATCTTCCATATGATGATGAAAATAATGTGTATTCTGCATCAGTTGAGTGAAATGTCCAGTAAATGTCAGGTAGGGTTATTTTATCTAGTGTACAGTTTAACTATGTTCCTTTGTATATTTTCTGTCTGGATGATCTATTCATTACCAAAAGTTGGGTTTTGAAATCCCCTACTATTATTGTATTGCAGTATATCTCTCCCTTTAGATCAATTTATGTTTGCTATATATACTTGGGAGCTCTGGTGCTGGGTGCATAGATATTTGTAATTATTATATACTCTTGCTGATCTGACCCCTTCATTGTTATATAGTGAACTTCTTTGTCTTTTTCTAAAGTCTTCGATGTATAGTCTATTTTATCTGATGCAAGAATAGCTATTCCTGCTTTCTTTTGGTTTCCAGCTGCATGGAATATATTTTTCCACCTCCTATATTTTCAGTCTATCTGTCTCTTTATAGGTGAAGTGGGTTTCTTGTAGGCAGCATATATTTGGGTCTTGTATCTTATCTCTTCAGTCACTGCATGCCTTTTAATTGGAGAATTGAGTCAATTTACATTCAGTGTTATTATTGGTAAGCAATAACTTACCACTGTCATTCTGTTGCTTGTTCTCTGATCATTTTGTAGCTCCTCTCTCCCTTTCTTATGGCCTTCCTTTGTAGTTAAGTGATTTTCTCTATTATTAATAGTATGTTTTAGTTCATTGGTTGTTATTTTTAGTGATTCAATTCCAAAATTTTTGCACTGCTGTTACTATGAGGCTTACAAAAAGATCTATATCTTTTAGATATAACAAGATATTTTAAAGAGATGACAACTTAGATCACAAAGAAAATAATAAAAACAAAGGAAAAATGAAAAAAACCTGTAACACTTTAACTCTATCCCTCTCACATTTTAAATTTTTTGTTGCCTCAATTTACATATTTTTGTATTGTCTATCTTTTAACAGGTTGCTGTAACTATTATTGCTTTTTGATAGATTTGTCTTTTGGGCTTCATACTAGAGTTATTAGTAGATTGCTTACTACAATGACAGTATTAGAGTATTCTAGGTCTGTTCCATATACTTAATTTTACCAATAGGTTTTGTATCTTCACATGTTTTCTTTTTGGATGTTAGTATTTTCTTTTTTCTTTCAGATTAAAGAAATCCCTTTAGTATTTCTTATAAGATGGGTCTGGTGGTGGTGAATTCTCTCAGCTTTTGTTCGTCTGGGAAAGACTTTACCTCTCCTTTATATTTGAAGTATTGCCTTGCTGGATACAGTATTCTTAAACAGCAGGTCTTTTATTTTAGCAGTTTGAAAGTGGTGTTCCACTCCTTCCTGGCCTGTATGGTTTCCACTGAGAAGTCTGTTGCCAGATGAATTATAGTTCCTTTACATGCTATGTGCTTCTTTTCTCTTGCTGCTTTTAGGATTCTTTCTTTGTCCTTGACATTTGAGAGTTGGATTATTATATGCCTGGGGGTAGTCTTATTTGGATCAAATCTGTTTGGTGTTCTCTGATCTTCCTATACTTGGATATTTATATCTTTCTCAAGTTTTGGAAATTTTTCTGTTATTATTTCTTTGAATAAGCTTTCTACCCCTTGCTCTTGCTCAACTCCTTCTTGAACGCCAATAATTCTTAGATTTGGACTTTTGTAGTAATTTTCTGTATCTTGTAAATGATCTTTGTTCCTTTTCATTCTTTTTTCTTTCTTCTCGTCTGTGTATTTTCAAATAGCTGTCTTTGAGCTCACTGATTCCTCTGCTTGATCCCTTCACTGTAGAGGTCCTCCAATAAATTTTTCAGTTCAGCAAATGTATTTCTCAGTTCCAAGATTTGTTTGTTTATTATTATTTCAATCTCTTCGTTAAATTTCTTCAATAAATTTCTAAATTGCTTTTCTCTGCAGATCACTGAGTTTCTTTAAAACTGCTGTTTTCAATTATTGGTTAGAGAGCTCACATATCATTATTTCATTAGGGTTCATCACTGTTTCCTTGGTTTGTTTGGGGAGATCATGGGTCCTTGTTTGTTATTGTTTTTGTGGATGTGTGTGTGTGTGTTTGCATTGAATGATTAGTTATTTATGCCAGTCTTCTCTGTGTGGCCTGTTTTCATTTTTACTAGGTATGTTTGCTTAGAGAGTCTTTGTAATTTATTTGTTTATTTTTTTTTTCTGCTAAGTTGCTGCCTCCATTTCAGGACTAGATGGTGCCCAAGCCAAGCTCTGGTAAACAATCAGAGTACTGCCTGTCCTGAATGGATGGGGTCTCAAAGGGAATATTCTAGTAGTGTGGAAAGGCTGGCTAGGGGTTCATGTCCAGTAGACCTGTGGAACAAACCTCCTTCTGCATGGTGCAGCTGAACAGCCACTCTGATTTAGCATCTCCTTTGGCTAAGTTGCAGAGTAGAGCTTTCGGGGCTATGGATGGTACTCTTGCCTCCCTGCTTTGTCTCTGCCTGTCCTTAGAAATATTTCTTCCTTCAGGCACTCCTGATGCTTCCTGTAGGCTGAGGCAGGGACAGGTCTCCTGCCAGGGAACATAAGATAGTGGGTAAGTTAGTTGTCCCCTTGGTCTCACTTTTTTCAATGTAGAAATCATGAGTTGGGGGGAAATTTTCCATGTACTTCGTGCCAGGCAGATTGGGTGTAGGGACATTGCAGATATAGATATCCAATTCTCTAACCATCTGCTCAGAATTTTTTCACTTCTTTGTGGCCCTGGGAAATGTCTCATTCTCGTATTTGAGTTCTGGGATCTTGCTGGTAATAATCTCAGGACTGTATATATGTTTTTGGTTTTCTGTGTGGGGTAGTGAAGCCAGCTTGCTTCTACACTGCCATTTTGGAACCAGAAGTCTCCACAAATTTATTTTTTAAGCAAATAATGTTCTAACTCTAGGACTTAACTAATAGTTCCAATTACTTTCCAACATTTCTGATAACTGATGGCCATCCACTAGTGACATAATGCAGTGGCTGAGAACAGTTGGTTTGCAGAACCATACCATGTGGGTTAATTAAAATCACTCGGTATCAGGGTTCAGGTTTTAGCCTGAACCCGGGCTTAAAAAGGAGAGAGTTGGGTCCAGCTCTTTTAGCTAGAATGTCAACAGCTAGAGAGCTGCTAAGTCCTTTGTTGTCTGGCTATCTTAATTACAGAGTTTCCTTCTCCCTGCAAGATAAAGCCACTTAAAGCTGGAAACTGTGAAGAAAGACATGCATCTGAAGCAGCAGGCATGGGGTTTGGTTGGTTGGGGTGGCATCTATTTTTATACAAATTTCTGAAGTCCTCTCATGCACATGGAAAGAGGAAGAGCTATCCTGCTTTGGCAAATGCTAAGTAGCTAATGGCTTTTCAGATTACCAATGCCAAGGTTTATCATCCAGAAACTGTGGGTAAGATTCAGACGTCTGTGGAACCCTTGAAATTACAGGCAAACCAGTAAAATAAGTGCATGTCTGTGTGTGGGGCAGGAGGGGCTGGTCTGCATGTACATGCACTTGAGTATTTCTCTAGAAGAAACTCCATGGTTTTCACAGAATTGGCAAAAGAGTTGGCTTGGGTTTTGTCAACTGTTTTGAGATTCAATGATACAGAATCTTATGGAGAAAAAAAAACAGAAGGAATAAGGGAAAGAGGTGCATCAGTTGACTGGAAAAAGATTTGGAGTGAGGCTGGGATTGAGGGGTTTGGGAAAAGCTGTAGTATGTGAGGGAAGCTGTGGCAAAGGGAAAAGATTTAGGAAATATTTCTATAGACTATGAGTCCTCTTCATCGTGTTAGAGAATTACAATAAGTGAATGTGTTACTTTGAAATTGTTTTCAAGAGTTTTAGACTGAATTCTCTTGATCTCAACAGTTCTCTAGACTGGGCCATATGGATTCCCACATTACAAACATTACGTAGATTCTTCACTCCAGGTCTCAGCTCTCCTACTAGATGCTAATCTCCTAGAAAGCAGGAACTCTGGCTAATTCAACATCATATCTTTCTCTGCACTGAAGCTGACACTCAGTAAATACTTGCTGAGGGAATGAGTGTGCCTGTCTTCAGGAGTGATTAGTTTAAAAAGCATGGGCTTTGCATCTAAATGGACATGAATTTGAATTGTTATCTCCATCACATAATCAGAATGTCTTCTTGGGCAAGTTACTTAAGCATGATCATCTTCAGCTTCCCATCTGAAAAACAGTGGTGAATGTTCCTATACTATATGGTTATTGAGATGATTAAATGAGTAACTGAGTGTAATGTGCTTAATATTGTTCCTGGCACATACAAGGCATGTAGCCATCATAGCTATTGCTCTAAAAAAATTTGTTTGAGGGCTGGGTGCAGTGGTTCATGCCTGTAATCCCAGCACTTTTGGAGGCCAAGGAGGGCAGATCACGAGGTCAAGAGATTGAGATCACCCTGGCCAACATGGTGAAATCCCGTCTCTACTAAAAATACAAAAAAATTAACTGGGCATGGTGGCACGCACCTGTAGTCCCAGCTACTCAGGAGGCTGAGGTGGGAGAATCCCTCGAACCTGGGAGGCAGAGGTTGCAGTGAGCCAGGATCGCACCACTGCACTCCAGCCTGGCAACAGAGCAAGACTCCATCTCAAAAAAACAAAAAATTGTTTGAAAGACTGACCCTACTTAATTGTTTAAAAATCATTTAGGGTCAGTAGCATAAATCTCAAGTTGCCACGGACTTCAACAAAATATTATTTCAGGAAATAAATATTTGCTGAGAGCCTTCTTTGTGCATTCTATTTGCGGCTGCAGTGATGTAATTATTGCCTTCGTGGGGCTCATAAAGGGAACAGCAGGGGACGGTGGACTTGCTTAAGTAGTTGCAAGGCAGATGGGTGCCATTAAGAGGAAGAGCTGGTTGCCATGGGAATAAGAAACAAGGAGCGCTCACCTGCACTTGGGGTCAGAGAAGGCTTCCTAGATGAAAAGACATTGGATAAGAGGGACTTTTTAGGCCTAAAAAAGAACTGGACTTAGCTAAAGAAAGGGGCTGAAAGAGTATTGCAGGTGGGGGAAACCCTGAGGCATGAAAGAGCTTGGCATGTTAAGGGAACTGGCAAGGGTTCCAGTCTGGCTGGAGTGAAATGAAACATGAAATCCCTCAGATGTGCCTTCTATATGGAGTAGGACTTCTGCAGCAGTCTCCCACTTGTTCTTATTATCACTCTTGGACCTCTTTTTCCATTTTTCCCATGACATTCAGAGAAATCGTTGAAAAAAGTATTACCTGGGTCCTGCTGTTCATTTTTATGGCTCCCTGCTTACACCAGGCCAAAGTCCAAGTTCTTTTTTTGCCCTGAAATGCCCTAGGGGCCCATACCAACTTCTCTGGTCTCAAGCCACACCAGGCTTCCCTGTGTATTACCACATGCACTGTGCTTTTGCCTCAACTGCATCCTTTCTCTCCTTTGTCTAAGCAATGCTCACTCCCAGCCCAGGGTCACTGTATCTGCTCTTCCATGTGCCTGGAATGCTCCTCCTCCAGGTCCTGTCCTCACTGCCTCCTTCTCACCATTCATATCTCAGCTCTGCTGTCACCTCCTCAGACAGGTCTTCCCTTACTGTTCTCTCTACCCAGATCCCACTGTTGCTCTGTCACAACCCCCCTTGTTTCCTTCATGTTGCTTATTATTTTCTAAAAGTATTTTATTTCTTGGTTTCCTTATTTCTTTTACCTCCATATTAGAATGCAAGCCATAAGTGCAGGGACATTGTCTAATTCACCGGCTAGTTCATAAAACACTCTTTGTCATCATGGGTTCTTAATCAATCTCAAATGAATGAATGAATAAATGAATTGAATTGAATTGAATTGGATGTATGAATAAAATGAATACTGACCAAATCTGAGATGTGCTACAGCTGAGAGTCTTCAACCTCATAGTACTTCTGACACCTGTGCTAGAGGCTCAGGTGAGTGTGCACCTCCTCACACCTTTCCCTTGCATTGTTTCCCCCAACAAAGCAGCTCATGGTGGCTACAGTGGGACTCATCCTTGATACAGTCACTTTTCCATGAAAACAAATGTGCACCTGCAAAATGCTGGATTTTAGCATCAAATATAATGAATAAAAGCTCTGGGGGCAGTCGGTCTTGGAGTCGAATCCCAGTTCTGCCATTTAATGGCTGTCTAAGCTTGGGAAAGCTTCTTAACCTCTCTAAGCTTCACTTTTTTCATCAGGAAAATGGGGCCAATTATAGTACTTGCCTCACAACATGATAGGGAAGAAAAGACGAGATGATTTCTTCAAAGTGTTCAGCAGAGACTGATGAGGTTGAGGGACAAACCAGTCATGCAGTGTGTGCCAAGGCACCCTTGGATTAGATCTAGAATGTGGAGCCAGTCAACACAGAGCTACACATACTCATAACTGGCCAAATGCAAACCAGAGCCCTCACTCTGGAGCAGACAGCATGAACAAGTGAAAAAGCTTTAAAAGTCTGGTCACTGGCATCAACTTGGTCTGTTGAGAATTTAGCACTGCACTTCTGCAGCCCACAGAGCTCTTTGCTAGAAAGGAGATTTATTTCATGATCTAAATGTTGATCCCTTTAATATGTCTCCTAAGAAGCTACAAAGGAAAACTGAAGTGAGAAAAGGTAAGACAGATAAGGGAAAAACATGTTGTCCAATGTTTTCAGTTCATTGATTCCATGCTGGCCCCAGGGTATGAATGAGTAAACGTGACTTTTTCTCCATTCCTACTGTGAGTGAAACACCTGATCCACATTTGGAGTTAGAAAAAAGCATACAATTTTATTAACAGTAACTGAGTTTTCCTGACACCCAACAGATAGATGATGAATAAATATTAAAACATAACGATAAAAAGAGTGCCAAATTATGAGCCTGCCTGGGTAACCCATAGGTCTCACAGCTGGGCTCTGCATCAGGCTCAGGAAAGCTCTGAATGACTGTGAGCTGCTATTGTCATTTTGGTAGTAGTGGTGGTCGTGGCTGTCTGATTAGTAGACCACTGCCCCCATGGAATCATTCTCTATATTTAAAATGAGTAAGTCTTATGTCCACAGATCTAATTTCTTCAGCCCATGTGGTCCAATGGGGGGGGAATGCAGCAGAGGCATGAAACCAGATGGCTACTTCTCAGTAAGCAATGCTCATCACATTTTCAAAATGGAAACACTTAGGTGTTCTGAATCAGACCTTTGGATCACATCCAAAGTGGAACTTTCTTCCCCCAACTCTACAGTTGCTGCACTTGTACAGCAGCATCAGGGCAGCCATGGTATTTGGTGCAATCACCGTGGAAAACTTGATTTCAAATGCAGAAAATCCCTGACTAATCATAAGGTCCAAGGAAGTAGAGATTCTGATTAATTAATTTTCTGGTCAGCTGAGTGCTAATCAGAAAATCTTTGGCATTTTAGCCCCTCTGGCTCATTATCTTTCAGGAGGTGTGGTGGTTCGCTTTTGTTCTGAATCCAGGTTCTATCACTGAGGAGTTATGCAGCCTTGGGCGAGTAACTCCATGTCTTAGTTATCTATTGCCACATAACAAATTACTTCAAACTAAGTGGCTTAAAACAACACACAATTGTTATCTCACAGTTGCCATGAGTCAGAAGTCTAGGTGTGGTTTTGCTGGGTCTTCTTCTCAAGATCCCACAACACTGCATTGAAGTGTTAGCAGGCTCTCTTCTGAGCCCAGGGTCCCCTTCCAAGTCCATGTGTTTGCTGGAAGAATTCAGTTCCTGCAGTTTAAGACTGAGGTTCCCATTGTCTTGTCAGTTGTCAGCTGGGCCACTCTAGGTTGGTAGAGGGCGTCCACTGTTCCTTGTGAATGGGCCCTTCTCACAATGTGTTAACTTACTTAACACTAACTTGTTTAGGGTTCACCATGATCTTCTGAAGTAAATGCAATTATTATTCCTGTTTAGCAGGTGGGGAAACAGGTTTAACAAAGTGCTGTGATTGATATGAGGAAATCAATCTATCAAATGGCAAAGCCCAAATCAAAGTCAAATAGGTCTGGCTTCAAAGCATGCACACGTAATCACTGCAAGATGCTGCCTCGTGTTTGTCATGTCTTATTAAAACTTAATGGCTATTTTGTCTTTTTGTTTCAGAGTATATCTCATTCACACTGGGTATAGAAGTTCTTGGGAAAAAAGTCATTTCTTAGGCATGTGTGTGCCAAGTCCATAGCATAATCCCTGGCACATATGGGTAATTAATAAATATTTGCTAAATGGAGGGATGAACTGGGTGCATGCTGAATGTTTGGATGGATGGATGAATAGGGTGGGTGCCTGTGTAGGAAATGGTTGGTGGATGGTGAATGGATAGGATTGGGGCTAGGATGGGTGGTTAGTGGATAGATGGATGACATGGGGTGATAGATTGGGTAGGTGAGTAGTGAGGGAATGGATAGATGAATGTGCAATGGATGCATGGGTGGCTGTGAGGTTGGGTGGTGAGTAGTGAATGGGAAGATGGCAGATGGAGCAGGTGGAGGAGTGAATGGAATAAAGGTTTCATAGTTGATAGGTGGGTGGGTAAATGGATGGATAGGTGGGTATATGGGCTTGAAGGGGAATGAGGTAGATGGAAGAATGGATGGATGGAGGATGGGATGTGTAGTAGGTGAGAAACGAGGAAGGTGGTTGGGGGGAGGGATGAATGAGCAGCTAGATTGGTGGTGAATAGGGTTGGGCATGAGGTAGGTGACAGTGGAAACAGATAATAGCTTCTCTCGCATTTGAATAGCTTCCTGAAATCATCTCTACTTTTCTTCTGTAATCATCGTATATTGTACATATCACTTATCTACAAGAGTTAGGCTGACCCAAATTCACCATTGAATTGAGACATATAAATCTATATTTAGATTTAATAATTCACAAATCCCAGGATATTACAGGGTTTGGCAAACTCTTGTTTCTCCAGAATGGAGTGAAATGAATGGCTGCTTAATTGGTGGATGGCACCAGAAGAGGGACCACCAGCAGGGTGATCCAAAGAGAAATCTCCTTCCCCGTACAGCCCGGAGCCCTGGAAGGCTGAGAGATGCCTCAGTTTCTACCTGCCTGGAAAGAAGAATTTTGTTTTTCCAAGATCTAATGGAATTCCACTGACAGAAGAACTGTGCATAGCCTGCCAAATACCAGGGGTGGGTGGCTGAGTGCTGTGGCATCAGCTACAGCATTAGGTGCCACCCCATTCTAGAGTCAGTCTTACCCCTGACCTCACTTAGGAAGTGTATAGTAATGAATTTATTAAGCATTAACAAAGTACTATGCTAAGGGCATTCATGGATATCCCATTTAATTCTCAAAAGTTGCTCTAGGATCTGGTGCTAAAATGATCTCTGCTGGCTCAGGAATAAGGTCAGGTCCTCTGTTCAAGGTCACACAGCTGCTAAGAAGATAAGTTGACCTTTATAACTTAGATCTGATTTCAAAACTCTTTCTCTGCACTTTTGTGCTAAAGTGTTCCTGTCAAAGTCAAATTTTTTTGACTAGCAAAAAAATTGGAGTGCACAGGATGGAGCTGGGACTCCTGTGAATGATACCCTAGAACATATGGTTTCGCTAAAGATGTTGGGAGCCAACAGGAGGAAAAAGTAACGGGAACAGACAGAAGAAAATATTCCCCGAATCTCTCTCTCAGCCATGACAATTTTGGAAACACTTCCAAAATGTGGCTGATGGATTAAGAAGGGCAAAAATTCTGAAATAATTGGGTTCTTCAAGGAAGCCCTCTTGGCTAACTTCACTGAGCTTCACATCCCAAAGAATGTTCCTGGTGACCACGCAGAACAAGGGAAATCCAGGAGGCCAAGAAAGAGTTGGGAAGAAGATGCCCAAAGGGCCATAGATGGAGCCCCTGGGCAAAGGTCTTAGAACAGTTATTTGTTAATATGTGAGTCCAACATAACCCTCCTTCCCCCTTAATTGCACTGGATATGATATGATTTGGATCTGTGTCCCCACCCAAATCTCATGTCAAATTGTAATACCCAGTGTTGGAGGTGGGACCTAATGAGAGGTGACTGGATCATGAGGGCAGAGTTCTCATGAATGAGTTAGCACTATCTGCTCAATGCTATTCTCCTGATAGTGAGTGAGTGAGTGAGTTCTCATGAGATCTGGTTGTTTAAAAGTGTGTGGTACCTCCCCACTCTCCCTCTTGCTCCTGCTTTGGCAATGTAAGACATGCCTGCTTCCCCTTCACCTTCCACCATGATTATTTCCTGGAGCTGCCCCAGAAGCAGATGCCACCATGATTCCTGTACAGCCTATGTAACTGTGAGCCAATTAAATGATAATTTTTTTTATAAATTACCCAGTATCAGGTATTTCTTTACAGCAATGCAAGAATGGACTAATACAAGATAATTCCCGTTTGCCCTTCCACATCCACTCTCCATCCTTCCCTACCATGTGCTGTGCCCCAGGGAGCTGGTCTTCAGTGGTTCTCTAATTGACTCCCTTCCTCTCCACTTCTAGTTGAGTTCAGCCAATGGGAAGCACCAAGAGGAGACAGAAGGAGGGGAAGGGAGTGTGGATGAGCTGTTGACTTCCCCGCTTGAAGGCCACAGCTCCTCTGAGGCAACCCAATCCAGTAACTTCATCTCCCTGCACCCATTATAATCTGGGGGCAGGAGTTAGTTTTTACTGCATTACAACCTCAAAACCTCAGTGGCTACAGGAGCAAGCATTTATTTCTTTGCTTGAGGATTTGTAGGAGGTCTTTGGTGCTATTGGGTTCAGCAGATCTTGGTCAGGCTGCCAGCTGGGCTCAGATCTGCTCCATGGGTCTACTTATTCCAAGGCCATCAGATACCAAGAGCATGTTCTTCTCATGGCAAATGATAGAAGCACAAGAGGGCGAGCCAAGCCATGCAAGCATATTTCTAGCCTCTGCTCCAATCACTTCCTACTTTGTATTCTATTGACCCAGGCAAGTCATATGGTCAAGCTCACAACAAATGGGATGGGCAGGTTCATTCTTCCTATTCTACTGGGAGGTATTGCAATGGTTCGAAAAGAAAGTGCTGGAACAATACTCTTATTGACTCCACAGTGGCCATGGCTCCCCACTGGTGTATTCCTGGCATTCAGCATTCATCTTGTTTTTCCAGAGCCCCATCCACATATTTGTAAATAGATCATGCATGTATAATTTTAATGGTTGTTTTATTATTTAAATATGTTTTGGTGTCATTAACTTTTGTATTAAACTCTCCTCAAATTACCCAATTTAAGGGTGTTAAAAACATTAATTTATCATGCAATTGAGCCGATGTTAACAGAGAGCTTCCTCTGTGCCCTGTTTGGGATGGATGAGAATCAGATTGACAAAAATGATGCCCTCTTCTTGCTGAATTCACATCATGTTACACGCAGTGTGCTAATATAACTTCATATGCATCATCTAATCTAATTTAATTATAACAACCACCCTGGACAGACGTTCCTATTACTATTCCAATATAAAGAAACTGAAGCTCAAAATGGTGGAATGACTTACCCAAGTTTTACTCAGCTAGTAGGTAAGAGGCAGGATTTGCCCCCAGGTCCACCCTACTCTGCAGTCCTTTCCTCTTAACAAATGCATTTGACAGCCTCACATGCAGCAAAATAAGCACTTTGCAAACACAGTTTCATTTCACCTTCATCTGTGCAACAAGTTCGGTTATCTGCTCATCTTGCAGATTAGAAAAATCGAGTCGTGAAGAATTGAGACCAACTCCCTAGAGTAGAAAATTGTACAGCTGAAATAGAAATCCAGTTCTATCTGACTCCAAAACTTATTCCCTTTCTACCACACCTCACTGTCAATCAAATCTACTTTCTCATCAAGACTGTCCTGAGCAGGTCCCAGTGGGAACTCTGGCCGGCTGTGACCACGGCCCACTGGACAGAGGTCAGCCTCCTCTACCCTCTGCTTTATCTCCCTCTAAATTGTCTGGCCTCTCTCCAGGCTCTGCTAGCTCTCCACTCCCATGTCAACTGCTTTTGGGTGCTGCCTGTCACCCATGTTTTACAGCCCTCTCGATGAAAAGCAAATTCATATTGATTTCAGAACAACTCGAGCTGTAAATTACTGGTGATGATCAGCTTGGTCATCCCGAGATGAGAATCTATTGACTGGACCAGGGGCCTAAATCTAATTATTGTCCCAGGAAACCCATTGGCAAGGCTGTCGAATGCCTATGTGGAAAGGAACTATTAAAATGGCCAAGAGCTACCTGCAAAAGTATATAACACATAATTTTAAACCATCATCTTTGTCTGACAGATCAAAGTCCTGCAGCTTCCTTCGACCATTGAATTAAGTGTAAGAACTGGCCTTGAACCATTTCTGTTATTAATAATGGTAATAATGACCTGATGACAACACAGAAATAGCTCATATTCACTGACCAGTTTGCATGCATTATCTCCTTCTAAAGCCTCACGATAGTCCTGTCACTTACTAGCTGTAGGGTCCTGTGCAAGTAAATCCTTAGCTTTCCTGTGCCTCTGTTTTCTCATCTGTGAAATGAGAGGTAATAGTAAAACTACTTCATCATAAAAAGGTAAAAGTTAAATATAAATTGCTAAGATCAGGAGCTAGATGTATTCTTGTCCCCATTACTCATGAAGAAACAGAAACTCAGAGATGTTAAGGGGCTTGCCCAAGGTTACACTGCTGGCACAGGGTTTTTGTCTGGATAGTGGTGGATTAATTTTTAAATGTTGAGCTGGGTGCAGTGGCTTATCCTGTAACCCCAGCACTTTGAGAAGCCAAGGCAGGAAGATCGCTTGAGGCCAGGAATGCAAGACCAGCCTGGGCAACATAGCAAGATCCCCATCTCTACAAAAAATTTAAAATATTAGCCAGGCATGGTGGTGGGTGCCTATAGTCCCAGCTACTCAAGAGGCTGAGGTGGGAGGATCAATTCATCCCAGGAGTTCCAGGCTGCAGTAAGCTATGATCACACCACTGAACTCCAGCCTAGGTGACAGAGCAAGACCCTGTCTCTTTAAAAAAAAAAAAAAATGTTGCTGAAGTGGCAGCATTTTAAAATGGAACTGATTTCCTGCTTCTCTTGAGCATTTAAAAACCCTGGCAACACTGAACTCACATTTCCTTCTACTGTACTTACTGCTGACCAAATCTAGTCTCTTAGCTCAGCTGAGCTCAACAATGCCAAAGCCCACCGAGAAACTATTGAACAAAGAAACAGACTCCAAGATTTTGAGAATGTCTGTAATGCCCTGGATCAAATGCCAGAGTGCCTGGGTCAGAGGATGCTGACCAGCTGTACCCGTTACACGGGGCTTGTGCTCCCTGGTTTACTGTAGTCCCCAACACTCCCTACTGCCCTGCATCTGACCCGCTTCTCTCATTCATGACATCTGCCTGGCCCCTATAGGCATCTGTGGTTATAGAATAGATTAGGCCACTCAACATCAAATCAAACTGAGGGATATACTATGATCATCCCCAGCAGATACAGAAATAGGGTCAGGGAGACAGTGGCTTGCTTAAGATCACACAGCACGTGACAGAACTGGAATCTGAATGCCAGCCTACCTACTTCCAGAGCCAATCTTCTCTGCCCTTCACTGAGGTTCCTTCCCAGTCAGTCACAGGTGAAAAAGCCTGCAAGCAGAGACAGGAAACAAAAATCCCTGTCCATCTCCCACACTGGGAAGGAAGGTAAAGAGAGTCCTCACCTCTACTTGCAGGTTTCACAGCCTCTCCTGCAACTGCTTTTCTGAGGACAGTGTTATTTCCAACGGTTAATGTCTCCATCCGTGCAAAACCCTTATCAGGGATTGCACAGAGCTTACATTTGTTGCTGTTTTGTGACCCGCACAAAACACATTCCGTTTGTTTATCCTTTTTTATTCTTCAGACCTTGAAGGAAAGCAGGAGGCAGGGAGGGCTCTGGCTGACAGCGACCCCTTTCTCATCACCCACCCCCCACGGGGATGGTGCCAGAGCCCCACTGCCCTGCCAGCCACTGTGGAAAGACAGCGTTCCCCCACCCCAGTAAAGCGGCTCCGCAGTTGCCGGGAGGCCCAGGGAGAGAGATTTTATTTTTTCTCCCTCTTATGGGACTGACAGCTTGGACAGTAGCTTCCCAGAAACAAACTTTATTCTCAGGGAGACGGACGTGCCTGAACCTTGAATGTTTCCAGAATATTTATGGCTTTTCTGTCTGCCCTGGTCTGTTTTGGCCATGATACAAGGTTTCCCGTTCACCGCCTGTAGATGCCTTATTATTGCTCCGCGGGCTCAACTTGTATGTAGCTAGGGCAAAAAACCACTAAGTGACGCTGTTGTCTCTAGTTAGTAACGATGGTGCTATTGCTATGTGTATTAAGCACTGTGATTTGTGGAGTCAGACACTACGTGCTTCACATACATCCAATCATTTCATTCTAACGACACCTCCAAGACGAGGGCAGAGAGGTGCTGAGAGGGGAAGTTGATTATCCAAGGTCACAAGCTAGGAAGTAATGGAGACAAGATTCGAATCCATAAACTAGTGTCAGAAGTTGTCATTGCAAAAGTGCAAAGATACCAACTACCTCTGTCTGCTCAGGGATAATTTTGGGGTTTTTTTGTTGTTTTTTCTCTGAAGTTATATCCTTCCTACTCTTTGAGTATTAAAATGGTATTTCTTTTATTAAATGATGGAGACAGTGGATGTGTTTGTTGTGTTTGTTTCTAGCCCTTAATAATTTTTTTTTTTTTTGAGACAGAGTTTCACTCTTGTTGCCCTGGCTGGAGTGCAATGGCATGATCTCGGTTCACCACAACCTCTGCCTCCTGGGTTTAAGCGATTCTCCTGCCTCAGCCTCCCGAGTAGCTGGGATCACAGGCATGTGCTACCACGCCTGGCTGATTTTTTTGTATTTTTAGTAGAGACAGCATTTCTCCATGTTGGTCAGGCTGGTCTCGAACTCCCGACCTCAGGTGATCCATCCGCCTCAGCCTCCCAAAGTGCTGGGATTACAGGCATGAGCCACCACGCCTGGCCAATAATTTTTAAAAAGAGCCAGACATGGTGGTTCACGCCTGTAATTCCAGCACTTTGAGGGGCCAAAGTGGGAGGGTCACTTGAGCTCGGGAGTTTAAGACCAGCCTGAGCAACATAGCAAGACCTTGTCTACTAAAAATAAAAAAAAACTAACCTGGCATGCTGGCAGGTGCCTGTAGTCCCAGTTCTTTGGGAAGCTGAGGAAGGAGAATCACTTCAGCCCAGAAGGTTGAGGTGGCAGTGAGCTGTAACAGTACCACTGTACTCCAGCCTGGATAACAGAGCGAGACCCTGTCTCAAGTAATAATAATAATAATAATAATAATAATAACAACAACAACATTTTTAAATTGCTATCCTATGTCTTTTCCTCCCACCCCCTAGGCCCTCAAAATCCAAGATCTAGAGCATTTCTCCTGATGATCAAGATATAGTGCTGAGCTTGGTGGAAATTCACTACTAATCCAACAAGAATTAGGTTGGTAACTTTCTATTCTTAGCAATGTTTCTGCCCCACTCCAAAAAAAAAAAATCCAAATATACCTTGAACACTTACTATGCATCATTTACTCCAAAAACAAATGCTTATTGAACATCTACTTTGTGCAAAGCCTTGTTCTAGGTGCTGGAAATACAAGGTGAAGCAAAAGAGGCAGAGCTACTCCCTCAAGGAGTTTACACTCTGCTGGCGGAGATGAGAATGAATCAAATACACACACACACACACACACACACACACACACGTGAACTTGTGAGCTATGAAGGGGAGGTGGGGGCATGCTGTGAGGTGGCTGTTATGTGGACTAGGAGGTCAGGGAAGTTTTTCCCAAGGAAGCCACTTGTGAGCTGAGATCTGAAGAATAAATAGGCATCAGTTAATGGGACAGAGGCAGGAAGAATCTTCCAGGCATTAGGAAGAGCATGAGCAAAGGTTCTGTGGCTGAAGGGAGACAAACACGTCTGAGGCCAGAGCGAAAACCAGTGGGGCTGGAGCAGAGCAAGCAGAGGGGACACAGCATAAGACGAAGTTCAGGAAGCAAACAGGAGCTAGGCCTTGTCCTTTAGGGCTCGTTCAGGGACTTGCTCTTTATCTCGGGAACACTGGGGAACCATTGAAAGGTTTTCAGCCCCAGGCACTTGAGGAGGTTCATTGATCAGATGTGCTCCCATTTTTAAAGATTCCCTTGCTGCAGTGACAGAGAAGAGGTCAGAGGGGCTACAGTCAGTGAGAGGAGACAGATTAGGAGTCCACTGGATGGTACCGATATGATTGTCAGTCACATGGACAAAGGCCAATATTTGAACTGAAAGCCAAGGTGTTCAGGGTCCTGCCAAGCAGAACAGAAAAGAATCAGTTCTCATGCATAGTGCTCTGGTGAGCTGGTGAACAAGTGCAATGCCTTTTGCAAGGGCCTCACCCACCTGCACCATTTCAAGTAGGGAAGCCAACTTGTTGTCCCAGTTTGTCTGGAACCTTTACCACTGAAAGTCCCATGCCAGGGAAAACTCCATCCTCGGAAAACTGGAGGGTTTGTCACCCTAATTTCAGTACCAGGTCTGCTGGATCAGTCAGGGTATACCTGCACCTTGCTCCATTTAGCATTTCATTAGAATGTGCCAGGTGACCCTCAGTGCCTGAACTTGAGATTTTTGCCTTGATTGTGTCCTGCAGTATGCATTAAAATATATTCTCCTTGTAGTGACTGGGATAAGTAGTCTTAGGAGAAAGACACCTTGTTGCCAAAATGCTATTCAATAAACCAGGAACTGGATGCTTGAAATAGTAAAAAAATTCTGAATAATATTTATATAATTCTTATAAAGGAGTCCTATATGTTACTCTATTAGGTTGGTGCAAAAATATTTGCAGGTTTTTGCTAGCAGGTTTTGCCATTACGGTTACATGCTTCAGCTGCAATGAGAGACTGCCTGGGTTTAAATTCTGACTTTGTAATTTACAACCTCCATGAGCTTGCGTTTGTCTTGGCCTGTCTGTGTCTCAGTTTCCTTGTATGTAAAATAGAAAGAATAATAATATTTACTTCTTAGAGTTATGATGAGAGAAGACACGGGCATCCTGCCTGGCATGCACCAGATGTTCCATAAATGTTACCTCTAGGTGTATATTAAGGGACCTTGTCTAGGGAATTGTATGAAATTGATTCCATTAGAGTTTCGCTGTTCAGTAGCCACTACCGGCATGCAGTTACTGACCACTTGAAAGTCTCAACTGAGATGTGCTATATACTGTAAAATACTCTTTAAAGATTTCTTAAGAAGAAGAGAATATAAAATACCTCCTTGCTAATATGTTTATATATTGATTCCATATCAAAATAATAACATTTTGAGTATGCCAGGTAAAATAAAATTAAAATTATTAAAATTAGTGTTGTCTGTTTTTTAATACGGTTATTAAAAATTTTAGAATTATATATGTGCTTTCCATTTGTAGGTTATGTTGTCTATTGAACAGTGCTGGATTAGAGGTCTGGAGGCCAAAAGACAAGAATAATCAACAAATTAGGGAGAAGTGCTACCACCCTTGAAACGCTCCTCTGGAACCACACAAGTCTTCAGTACACACAGCTCATTGATGAAAAGTTGTGCATCACAGTTGCACCCACCCATCCCGAATGAAAAGATCCCTTTCATCAGACATCAAATCACTCCATGTTCAAGTTTGGATTTCCTTCCAGAATTTTAGAAAGCAAAGAGAAATCAGAAAAAGAATGATACTTGGAGAACAGAATTTTCTCTCCTGGCTGTTGGAAACGACACTGTTCTTTAGCCAAAAACAAATGTGCCCTTTCACATAGATAACCCCATTTATCCTCTGAACCCTGGGACAGTGAAGTCCGTCTTCCCACTTTCAAGGAAGTGGGAACCCCCCAGAGTTTGGAAATGCCTCCCAGCTCTGGGATGAGGACCTCAGTGGGTAGCGGCAGGACATTGTGTTCTGTCTCTTGGTGCAACTCCAAGTCTCAGAGGTACTCAAGCTTATTAGCTATGGACATAGACAAGAGACCTAAACTCTCTGGGCCTCAGCCTCCTCATCTGTAAGTTGGAATACATATAGTAACTAAGGGTGTTGTGGCAAGGAATGAATTAGGTAATGTGTGTGATTTGCTTATCACATTATCTGACAAATACTAGGCACTCTTTTGTGTCTGGTTTCTTTCCCTCTATGTGAGATTAGTCCACATTCTTTCATGCAGTTATCATTTGCTCATTCTCAAAGTGGTGTAATATTCCACCATGTAAATATACGGTAGTCCTCCCTTTTCCATGAGGGAATACATCCCAAGGCCCCCAAGGGATCCCAGAAATCAATATAGTACCATACTGTATGTATATTATTTTTTTCTATACATATATACCGAAGATAACATTAATTTAGAAATTAGGCACAGTAAGAGGTTAGCAACAATAACCAATAATAAAATAGAACAAATATAATAGTATACTGTTATAAAAGTTATGTGAATGTGGTTTCTCTTTTTCTCAAAATATCTTATTGTGATATGCTCATCTATTTTCAGACCAAGGCTGACCATAGGTAACTGAAACCTAAGAAAGCAAAACAGAGAGAACGACTGTACCACACTTTATTCTATTGTTGATGGCCACTTGAATAGTTTCAGGCCTGCAGCCGTTATGAATAGTGATGCTATGAACATTCCAAATCATGTGTATTCATGGACACAAGTACATATCGGTGTTGGGACAATACAGGGGGGTCACTGTAAAGTCTAAGAGTGTGGATGTATTCAGTTTTAGGAGATTTTAGTATATCATTTTTCAGAGTTTTGTATCTACTTATCCAAACATCAGCAATGAACGGATTTGCAGTTCCCCCATATCCTCAGTGACACTAGATATTACTAGATATTGAGAATTTTCTTTTTAGTCATTCTGGTGAAAATGTGTTAGTATCTTGTTGGGTTGTCGGTTGTATTTTACTGCAAACTGATGAAGCTGTGCATGTTTTCATTTTTTTTTTTTTTTTTTAGCAATGTGGATATCCTCTTTTGCAAAGTGCCTATTCACATCTTTTGCCCATTTTCTCTTGTTTTTTTTTTTTCTAGATACAAGATATTTGTTGGCTCTGTGTATTATGGGAAGCATTTTCCACTCTGTAGCTTCTCTTTTCACACTCTTAATGGTGTCTATTGATGAAGAGTTCTTTGTTTTAAAAGAGTCCATTATTTTTCCTCCATGGTTAGCACCTTTGACCTAGTTATATAATCTTTGCCTACCCCTAAAGTCATGAAAAATTCTCCTTTATTTTATTCTTAAAGTTTATTGTTCTATCTTGCATAGTTAGATCCACAGTAAATCTTGAACTGATTTTTGGATATAACTGTGAGGTTGAGTTGAAGATTTCCTTATGGGAAATTAACTCAGAATCATTTCTTGAAAAGCATGGCCAAATTCGTTTTTGTTTTTGTTTTAATCTCCATAAGTACTATATTTCAATATATATTAAAATACAAAATGTATGTGAAATATATGTATTCAATATATAGAAACAATATATTTTAATATTTCAGTTGCAATTACTTTTTTTAAAATTTTACTTTAATTTCTGGGATACATGTGCAGAATATGCAGTTTTGTTACATAGGTATACATGTGCCATGGTGGTTTGCTGCACCTATTGACCTGTCCTCTAAGTTCCCTCCCCTCGCCCCCCATGCCCCAACAGGCCCCGGTGTGTGATGTTTCCCTCCCTGCGTCCATGTGTTCTCAATGTTCAGCTCCCACTTATGAGTAAGAACATGCTGTACTTAGTTTTCTGGTCCTGTGTTAGTTTGCTGAGTATGATGGCTTCCAGCTTCATCTA
Source organism: Homo sapiens (assembly GCF_000001405.40). Taxonomy (NCBI): domain Eukaryota; kingdom Metazoa; phylum Chordata; class Mammalia; order Primates; family Hominidae; genus Homo; species Homo sapiens. Next base: position 107,924,083 of record NC_000012.12, on the reverse strand, counting down.
TGTCCCTGCAAAGGACATGATCTCATTCTTTTTATGGCTGCATAGTAATCCACGGTGTATATGTGCCACATTTTCTATATCCAGTCTATCATTGATGGGCATTTGGGTTGGTTCTATGTCTTTACTATTGTAAATAGTGCTGCAATAAATGTATGTGTGCATGTGTCTTTATAGTAGAATGATTTGCATTCTTTGGGGTATATACCCAGTAATGGGATTGCTGGGTGAAATGGTATTTCTGGTTCTAGATCCTTGAGGAATCACTACACTGTCTTCCACAATGGTTGAACTAATTTACATTCCCACCAACAGCATAAAAGCATTCCTATTTCTCCACAGTGTCACCAACATCTATTGTTTCTTGACTTCTTAATAATCACCATTCTGATTGGCATGAGATGGTATCTCCTTGTGGTTTTGATTTGCATTTCCCTAATGATCAGTGGTGTTGAGCTATTTTTTTTTTTTTTTTGAGACAAACTTGCTCTGTTGCCAAGGCTGGAGTGCAGTGGTGTGATCTCAGCTCACCACAACCTCCACCTCCTGGGTTCAAGCGATTCTCCTGCCTCAGCCTCCTGAGTAGCTGGGACTACAGGCACACACCACCATGCCCAGCTAATTTTTGTATTTTTAGTAGAGATGGGGTTTCACTATGTTGGCCAGGGTGGTCTTGAACTCCTGACCTCGTGATTCACCCATCTTGGCATCCCAAAGTGCTGGGATTACAGGCATGAGCCACCACGCCCAGCCCGAGCTTTTTTTCATATGTTTGTTGGCCACATAAATGTCTTATTTTGAGAAGTGTCTGTTCATATCCCTTGCTCACTTTTTGATAGGGTCTTTTCCTTTTTTCTTGTAAATTTGTTTAAGTTTCTTGTAAATTCCGGATATTAGACCTTTGTCAGATGGGTAGATTGGAAAAATTTTCTCCCATTCTGTAGGTTGACTGTTCACTCTGATGATAGTTTCTTTTGCTGTGCAGAAGCTCTTTAGTTTAATTAGATTCCATTTGTCCATTTTGGCTTTTGTTGGAATTGCTTTTGGCATTTTCGTCATGAAGTCTTTGCCCATGCCTATGTCCTAAATGGTATTACCTAGGTTTTCATCTAGGGTTGTTATGGTTTTGGGTTTTACATTTAAGTCTTTAATCCATCTTGAGTTAACTTTTGTACAAGGTATAAGGATGGGGTCCAGTTTCAGTTTTCTGCATATGGCTAGCCAGTTTTCCCAGCACCACTTATTGAATAGAAGATCCTTTCCTCATTGCTTGTTTTTGTCAGGTTTGTCAAAGATCAGATGGTTGTAGATGTGTGCTGTTATTTCTGAGGTCCCTGTTCTGTTCCATTGGTCTATATATCTGTTTTGATACCAGTACCATGCTGTTTTGGTTACTGTAGCCTTGTAGCATAGTTTGAAGTCAGGTAGCATGATGCCTCCAGCTTTGTTCTTTTTACTTAGGATTGTCTTGGCTATATGGGATCTTCCTTGATTCCATATGAAATTTAAAGTAGTTTTTTTTCTAAATCTGTGAAGAACGTCAATGGTAGTTTGATGGGAACAGCATTGAATCTATCTATTTCTTTGGGCATTATGGCCATTTTCATGATATTGATTCTCCTATCCATGAGGATGGAATGTTTTTCCATTTGTTTGTGTCCTCTCTTATTTCCTTCAGCAGTGCTTTGTAGTACTCCTAGAAGAGGTCCTTTACATCTGTTGTTAGCTGTATTCCTAGGTATTTTATTCTCTTTGTGGTAATTGTGAATGGGAGTTCATTCATGATTTGACTCTCTGCTTGTCTATTGTTGGTGTAAAGGAATGCTTGTGATTCTTGCACATTGATTTTGTATCCTGACTTTGCTGAAGTTGCTTATCAGCTTAAGGAGTTTTGGGGCTGTGATGATGGGGTTTTCTAAAATAGAATCATATCATTTTCAAACAAAGACAATTTGACTTCCTCTCTTCCTATTTGAATACAATTTATTTCCTTCTCTTGCCTGATTGCCCTGGCCAGGACTCCTAATACTATGTTGAATAGGAGTGGTAAGGGAGGGCATCCTTGTCTCATACTAGTTTTCAAAGGGAGTGCTTCCAGCTTTTGTCCGTTCAATATGATATTGGCTGTGGGTTTGTCATAAATAGCTCTCATTATTTTGAGATGTGTTCCATCAATACCTAGTTTATTAAGAGTTTTTAACATGAAGCGATGTTGAATTTTATCGAAGGCCTTTTCTGCATCTATTGAGATAATCATGTGGTTTTTGTCTTTGGTTCTGTTTGTGTTATGGATTAGGTTTATTGATTTGCATATGTTTAACCAGCCTTGCATCCTAGGGATGAAGCTGACATGATCATGGAGGATACGTTTTTTGATGTGCTGCTGGATTCAGTTTGCCAGTATTTTACTGAGGATTTTTGCATTGATGTTCATCAGGATATTGGCCTGAAGTTTTCTTTGTTTTGTCTTTGCCAGGTTTTGGTATCAGAATGATGCTGGTTTCATAAAATGAGTTAGGGAGGAGTCCCTCCATTTCAATTGTTTGGAATAGTTTCAGAAGGAATGGCACCAGCTCCTCTTTGTACCTCTGGTAGAATTCAGCTATGAATCCATCTGAAGTCGAATACCTGAATAGACCAATAACAAATTCTGAAATTGAGGCAGTAATTAATAGCCTACCAAGCAATCATCTTTTTCTTTGCATCCTGACTTCCCATTGGTTAATTGTCCCCGTGTTGTGTGGGTATGAGACAGCTGAGTTATGGATGTTCTTTGTTGAGGTTCTGTGAGATATATCAATGCGGTAAGCAGCCACTTCAGTACATAGGTAAGTTATTGCTCATCATCCTGGAGTAGGAGTAACTTCCAGGGATACTGTTTCAGTTCAGCTCTATAGAGAGCTAACTGAAAGGTGCTAACTAACACAAAGCTAACTAACACAAAGGTGCAGGGCCAGATGTAATCCCACGATGGGAACATATCCTGTAGTGCTTGCACCAGAACCACGTGGGAAGTGAAGGAGAAATGAATTTTGAAATCAGTGGCACCAGAGGCTCCATTTTTTGTTCCCATGCTAGGATATATAAAACCACAAGAAGCAGACTTTAATCTGATCAAAGGTGAATCAAAATAGAAGTTCTCTCTATTGGAATATACTTGATAGCACAGTGTATGTAATTATAAATGTGCCAAACAATGAGAGTTATAACAAAACCTTTCCTATCATACCAAAAGCAGAAATTCATAAAGAGGAAGAGATACATTTCAAATAGAATCAAAGACTAGGCACGTAGATTGTTCAATAACCAAATTAATGAAGAAGAATAAAGTTTATCAACATATTGCAGGATTATATAAAGTTCTGATTTAACATAAAATGAAGATAACACAAAACTCTTTACATATTTATATTAGTGACAGATTGATTAATGAGTGTCATTACCTCCAGGAGTATTTAAGTTTAACCAGTTATCTCTGTCTCTCTCGCTCTTTCACACACACACACACACACACACACACACGACCCAAAATCCCCAGAAATCTGACAGTTCACATATGTAAGAATCTTGATATAGGGCTTGCCCAAATTTGACAACAATCCTTAAAATCAACATGACATTACAAATAATTATATGTGACACCAATATTTTTTTCTAAACTGTGATTAATAGAGAACAGATTTCTATCCTTCATGATGGAAGAAAACCTGTAATATACTTTTACTCTTTCTATACCAAATATTATAAAATTAGTGCTATCTGTAGGAGTAATCAAACACTATGAAGGCAAAAAATAAATAAATCAGGAATAAAGCATTACACACAATTATTTTAAATGTTATTTTTTCCAAATTTTGTGATGTCAGTCACATTTCTCAGTTTTCTTAAATTGATGGCTTTTGCAGTTTCTCCTCTAATTCTAAATAACTATTCACTTTTGAACTGAAATTTTACAATTTTTTTTCTTAAAGCAGTCCACAAAACTGTGGCAGTTTTGAACCCTATAAAACATGGATTGACACTTACAGCCAGCCATCAGTTCATCCTGCCCCCATCCACCGTGCCTCATCCAAAGATATAATCTCCTTCACCCCATAGTCTCAGCTGCCCCCAAAGTACTCAATACCTATGTGCCCAATGAACAGCCAAGGCTTTTTAAAAATTATTATTAACAAAAGTGGAGAGGAAGATATTTCTGACATTTTGTTGAGGAAGTTGCGATGAGAGTGGCTTTGAACTTATAACCCTGAGAGCAGCTGATTTTGCTAACCTTTGGGATAAACTTGACCATGAGTACTAAAGAACAAGGCTACAAGTTGGGGATAATTCAGGATTCTCCACACTCATTTTGTATAAGCCTGCTCTAAAGGGCTCTGAAGAGAGGGACCAGGAGGGAGAAAAAGTTGCAAGTGCACCGCGGAGGTGAGAAGCTATGAAAACCACCAGGAGCCCCATCAGCAGGTGTGGCCTGAGAGCTGAGAGTTCATTGACTGGACCCCCTGCTGCCCAAAAGCTCCCTCCTAACTGAGCTGGATGCTAAAGTTATATATGGCACTTAGTAGCAATAAGAATGTGTTGATTGAACAGATAATGCTACCAGTTGAGATATGATTCTTTCGTTCTTGATATCTTATGGTCTTCAAGAATCCTCTACAGTAGTGATGCTAACTTAGGCTCTAGGAAGCCCTGAAATTGTATGTAAAACGTAGGCATGAATGTGTTTTTCTGGGGGAAGTATCTATAGAGTTCGTCATATTCCCTACAGTGTTTAAGGCTCCAAAGAAATCTTGAGTTATGCTCCATCTGTCCATGTCCAGCTAAGGGCACTGCCCCTGCTCCCCAGTCCCCCAGTGCTCAGATGCCAGGGCAGTAGAGGGCTCTGGGGCATACATCAATGGTAACTAAAGAAACAATACTCCTGGAAAAGATAAACCACCAATGATAGGTGGCAGCACTGCAGAACCAGAAGGGACCTTAGGGATGGGCCTGTGTGATTAAGCCAACACACCCAAAAATGGGACCCTTGATAAGACAAGTGGGAGAATCTGTCCTCCACCTTCCCTTTTATAGATGAAAAAGGGTCCCAAGACCAAAGTGCTTATTGTATAGCCTACAGCAGTTCATTCACTGATTCAGCCAACATTAGCTGAGACCCTCCTCTATGGCATGCTCTGTGCTCAGTGCTGGGGACACATGGGCGCTGCCCTTGAGGTTCCCAGGGGAGTGGACACATGACAAACTGCCCATGGAATAGGTCTGTCATATTCATCTCTGTATTCTGCAAGCTTCGCCCAGTAGTAGGAGCTTAATAAATAGCAACTTCTACTGGCATTATTGCAATATTATGTCTCTGGCATTTTAACTTGGACAAAAAGCTTTGTCAAGTCACACCCTGTCCAGGTATTTGCTGTGTAACCCTGAGCAAGTCACATCATCTCCCTGAGATACTATTTCCTCATATGTAGGATGGGAACATACATCATGGGGGCCTGTGGGGGTTACCGGAGCTAATCCGTGAAAAGAGCTCCACAAGTTACAGTGATTGAAGTTTAAATCATTACCGTATGGCAAAGAGCCCTGGTAAGCACTCTGGTCTCCAGTCTGCCTCCTGGGAAAGGGCTGACCAGCTCACCTGTCTCTACCAAACTAGGATCGAAGGAATTAGAAATGGTGGTGCTCAGGTGGGTGCAGAGCAGCATCTAGTGGACTAGAAGGGGAACTGACGAAGTGTCAGAATGGCATTGGGAAGAGAAAGTTTGAAGGCTGGGACAAAGGTTGACAGAGGAGCCAGGAAGGAAGCCTGCATGCTGGATGTCCCCAGCGGGGAGATCAGATGAGGTCCCTTAGAAGTCAACAGGACCTCAAGCCCCCATGTGCTAGCTGAGGGCGTCCCTCTTCTACACCCAAGCCTCCCTGGGTGCTGGGTCTCTGGGTCCTGTGGGCTCAGGGGCCCATATTTCTCAAGTTCTGCTCTGTGTCCAGCTGAGGGCACTGACCCCACTGCCACAGTCCCCAGTGCTCAGATGCCAGGGAGGTAGAGGGCTGTGTGCCAGGGCACAGCCAAGGCATCCTCCACTGCTCTGGGCCACAGGTGGGCAGCTGAGCCCCACATCCCACTAACACCAGGTCCTGGGATTTCTGGCTCTGCCCATTTTTTCTCTCAGCCTCCATTCCAACCACGTGGATCAGCAAGGAGGAGCACCATGCTGTCCCTTCACCTTTGTCCATCCTCCTTTTCTCCCCGTCATCTTCTGCAGAGGAGATCCCAATAGGAGCCCCTCACAGAGTTATGAAGGGCAAATGGGATAACTCAAGTAAAGTGCAAAGCAGGTACACAGTAGTGCTCAAGAAATGGGAGCCACTACTACATCTTCATCATCACCATCAGGACAGGCACACGGTAGTGAGTGCTCAAGAAATGGAAGCTGTTACTGCATCTTCATCATCACCATCAGGATAGGCACACAGCAGTGCTCAAGAAATGGAAGCCAGTACTACCATCTTCATCATCACCAACACGACAGGCACACAGTGAGTGCTCAAGAAATGGAAGCCATTACTGCCATCTTCATCAGCACAATCAACCAGAGAAAGAGCCCACTATGTTTGAGAAAAGCATTTATATGTTGATAAAAATTTCCTTGTTATATTTATCATTTACAGTCAGTAGTAAGAACATTAAAAAGTTAAAATATAGGTGCCAGATGTTAGTTTCATTCCTGTGAATTTATTGAAATAACAGACAAGTAAATACAATTCTATTTGTCAGTGAAAAATATTTTTTAAAATCTTGTCAAGTGTAAATTTTACTAATAGGGTAAGTCCTCACCTAATGTCATTAACAGATTCTTGGAAACTGCAACTTTAAGTGAAACAATGTACTACAACACCGATGTTACCATAGGCTAATGGATATTAACTAGAGTTAAGTTTCTACAGGCATATTTCTGGCCACAAAAACATCACCAAACTTTTTTTTTTTTTTTTTTTGAGATGGAGTCTCGCTCTGTTGCCCAGGCTGGAGTGCAGTGGCGCAATCTTGGCTCACTGCAAGCTCCGTCTCCCGGGTTCACGCCGTTTTCCTGCCTCAGCCTCCCGAGTAGCTGGGACTACAAGCACCTGCCACCACGCCCAGCTAATTTTTTCTATTTTTAGTAGAGACGGTGTTTCACTGTGTTAGCCACGATGGTCTCGATCTCCCGACCTCGTGATCCGCCCCCCTCAGCCTCCCAAAGTGCTGGGATTACAGGCGTGAGCCACCGCGCCCGGCCAAACATCACTAAACTTCTAAATGAAGACCAAAACATTTCTAGTATTAAACATTGAAATAAATGTGAGCTATACATACACTTAAGAAAGATTAATAAAAACAAGTAAGATAATCATTAACCCAGTAATTCCAATTCAGGGTTGCAGGTGGCCACAGCCTATCCTGGCAGCTCAGGGCACAAGGCAATAAACCACACTGGACAGGATGCCATCCCCTCACAGAGCACACTCACACCCACACCCACACTCACTCAGATGGGGCCATTTTATTTATTTTTTTTGAAACAGAGTCCCTCTCTGTCACCCAGGCTGGTGAGCAGTGGCGTGATCACAGCTCACTGCAGTCTTGACCTCCCAGGCTCAGGTGATCCACCCACCTCAGCCTCCCAAGTAGCTGGGACTACAGGGGTGCACCACTACCCCCCGATAATTTTTGTATTCTTTGGAGAGATAGGGTTTCACCATGTTGCCCAGGCTGGTCTTGAACCCTTGGGCTCAAGTGATCCTCCCTCCTTGGTTTCCCAAAGGGCTGGGATTACAGGTGTAAGCCACCACACCTGGCCCAGACTGGGCCCATTTAGACATGCCAATTCACTTGATGTGCACATCCTGGGAATATGAGAGGAAACCAGAGAGCCAGAGAAAACCCATGAACACATGGGGAGAATGTACAGACTGCACCCAGATGATGGCCTTGGCTGGGAATTGATTTTTCTTTTTCTCACCAACATTATAATGAAACATTTTAGTATTATTCCAGGACCTGCTGTACAGTAACTTTAAAGGACTGAAGAGCAGAAAACTGACATTTATTGACTGTCTACTATTTCCAAGAGCTACCATTCCCAGCCACTTTTTAATCATCACCACAACTTTATAAGGCAGGGATTATTAGCCCCGTTGTTGGAGAGAGGCTCAGAGAAGTGAAGTGACTTGTCCAAGGTCACACAGCAAGTGAGATGACCAGAACTTAAACCTAGGTCTGTCTGAGTTCAGCCCTTCACAAATCACCATGCTGCCTCCCTCTCTTCAAAACATAAAGCAAACAAATAAAACAATTCACTATTTGCCTGGGAAATTGTTGGCAAGAGCAAGACAGGATTGGAGGAAAATGTATTCCCAGACATACTGTAAACCTCCTGACTCCACTGGACAACTTCTTTTGGGGCCTGAGAGCAACAGTTGCTGGGATTCCCTTCATCCACCACAGCATCAGGTGTGGGCCAGGGTCTGGTTGCTGAAGGGTCCAGCCAGAGGTCCCAACCATCCCATGTCTGTGCCACCCCTGGTGCAAGGGACAGTAGATTCTCCCAGGCAGGAGCAGAGAACCACTGGGACTAACATGCAGGCACCGGAGAAATGGATTGTGTGTGTGTGTGTGTCTGCTCTGTGTGTGTGTATATATATACACACATATATGTGTATATATACGTATATATACACATATGTATACACACATATATATACACACATATGTATATATACACATATATGTATACATATATGTATATATGTGTGTGTATGTGTGTGTGTGTGTATATATATGTCTGTTTTTCTCCCTCTTTTCCTCCATCCTCTCTCTCTCTCCATTCCTTCTTAGCCCTGTCCCTGACCCTGTCCTTCTGCCTCCCTCTCTATCTTCCTCTCCCTCTCCCTCTTGGTTCTCTCCCTTCTCACTCTCCCCTTGAATTGCTCCCCCATCTCTGCTTCTCTCTCTACTTGCTGCTCCATCTTTCCCAAATGTCCTCCCAGTGTCCAGGGCAGATGTCACCACTCAGTTCCCTAGCTTACATACCCTCACACACCATTCCTGCACAGACAGACCAGCATTCATAAATCCTAAGTCTTAGTTCCCGGGAGAGAAGCAAGAGTGGGCCCAATGCGGGTCAAGGGTCCACCCCAGGTCTTCTCGGCCATGCCAAAAATTCAGCTGCCTCCAGGAGACTCTCCATCACCTTCTCCTTCTTCTCCTCCTTCCCATCACATTCCAATGAACTCCACGACCTGCACAGGATGAAGGCAGGTCAGGACCTGTGTTTTGTCTAGGCTCGAAGCCTGGTTAGGCCCTAGCTCAGTGCGTGGACTATGGAGCCAGACCACATGGGTTCAAATCCCACTTCAGCAACTTACAAGTCGGTGACCTG